>NC_000004.12:96800168-97103199 GCF_000001405.40 Homo sapiens
TTTTGAAAGATGTTATCATTGGAGGAAACTGGGTAAACAATACACTGGACCTCTCTATTATTTCTCACAACTACATGTGAAGCTACAATATCTCAATGTAAATGTTACTTTTTCTAAAGTGTTTCCAAGACATTTTTGGATTTTATAAACCAATAAAGTAGCAATCATCACCACCAGAACAGCAATGTAATTAACAGTGTGGATTCGTATAGGAATGGTAGATTTTCTCTTAGCCTGAAGACATATTTTAAAAAGCAACAATAAATGCCATTTTCTCTCACTATCATTATGTATGAAGTAGAGTATTTAAAAATCAAGTCAAAGCATAATTCTGATTTAAAAAAAATGAATTGAACTTTATGAGTCTCTCACTATACTCTTGGTTAGCCCAATACTAATCTGCATATAAGCATTAAAGTACTACTATTTTGGATATTATATTACCTATAAATTCCAATATCAAAAAAGCAATTTGCCTAAGTCTAAAGATATTATGAGTATGTAGGTACCAAAATGAGCTCAGTGACTGTCTCCTAAAGTTTCTTCCATCCCTCCTTCACCTTTACCCTCTCCCACTCCCCCTCTTTCTTCCTCCTGTTCTTCTTCTCCTTCAATAAGAAGGTTCTTGAATTGTGCAAAGGCCCCCTACACAGATAGATGTCATGTAACTAAACTCTGAACAATAGGGTGAAATTGGAATTGGCATATGCAACATTGGAAAATATTCTTAAAGAGAAAGGGTACAACCTTACATTGCCCTGTCTTCTTTCCTGCTGACTGGAGTGCATCATGATTGGAGCTGGAAAACCCATACTGGAGCATGAAATAGAAGCCACATGTTTCGTATGATGGATTTTTAAAAGAAAGTAAGTTTAGGTCCATGATGATCTCAGAGTAGCCATTCCAGCCCTGAACTTCCTGCATTCACGTGAGATAGAAATAAACATATATTTAAGATTCTGCCTTTACTTACACATGCATCTAAAGCAAACCAAACAAGCACACTATGGTGCAAATGCTTCATGGTGAGTTTAATCAACCTTTGTTGAGCATTTCAAACAATGACTTGGTGACCTGTCCCAAGTCTCCTCTGCTTCTCCCAGCAACTGCTCCCTTGAAACTCCCATAGCACAGCTTTGAAGGTACCTTCTGTGTTTTGTCATGTATTATACTTATTTGTGTGTATGTCTCGGTCTTATTATACAAACTTGAGCTCTTATTGTCTCATTTATTTTTATGCCTTTTATGTCTAAATGATTTACTAAGTATAAAACTGGAGAAACATATTAAGTGATATGTAATAACACATATCTAACACTCTTCCTGCTATTCATATTGCTTTTCATTTGCCTTCATGATGGTAAAAAACCCTCAGTAATTGATACATTTTGAGTATAAACATAGATTATAGCCATCTTATGATAATACTTTTATAAGCACAATGTACATAAGAAAATGTTTAATAAGTGCACATCATCGACAGGTAGGCCAGGGACTCACAGACATGTGAGGCATAAGCAGTCCTAGGGGAAGCAACCACATGGGCCCTTTGGCAAGGCTTACATGAAGCTGTTTGGTACAAGAAATAGGATTTGAGGTCAAAGAAAAGAAAAATTGTCTGCATAGCTATTTTGAAGGGAGAAGACATTTGGAGGAGTCCTTCAAGAATAGAATTCTTAAGAATTTTGTGTATCTACTTAACAAACAATAATTCCATTAGGATGGCCTTAGAGACCAATTTTTAAAGTCATTAATGTGTTTGAAAGTGGACAAGAAAGTGGTGTTTGTAAATGGCAAAAGGTATTTATTCTTTTCAGACATGAGTGACTGTAGGAGACTCTGTGACCCTGCTATTAGGTTTGTGCAAAAGTAATTGCTTTTGCACAAACCTAATAAAATTACTTAATTGTGCTTAATACAATACAGTTATTTTGCACCAACCTAATAAAATGAATAAGGATGTATTACTGGTCCCAGTAAAGCTGGCAGAATGGGCTTTGTGAATGGCAGCACTGTGGTCCTGGGTGGAAGGAGTTAATTTGACCTGTGGCTTGCATCCCTCATTCTGTATAATCCCCAAATTGTGCTGTAGATATACCCTGGGAAGCTAACTGTAAAAAGCTAGGAAAGAATGTTCAGGTGTGGGTGATGAGGCTCAGTGAGGGGCTGTGAGCTGCGTCCTTGGTACAAAGAGTTCAGTCTAGGCAAAGATTCTGAGAGTTGGCCTCGCAAACGTGCAGCACAGCAGACAGCTGCATCCCCAAGGGTCACCTGGGCCTTAAGAGAAGTAGAAGTTAGTAAGAAAAGCAGAAAAAAAAATTGGGGGAGAGGGCGGCTAAAGCAGATAATTTTTATGTGGTTGTAGAGAAAATAAGAAAATGGTAGCAGCAGCAGAAGAAAATGTTAGAAAACAAGAAAACAGCTGTCTGATGGTGGCAGGTGTGCTCTGAAGGAAAACATTCTGCTTAGTAGTTTCAGGGAGAAAAATAAGGAAAAATTAGGATACTGTAAGGAAAATGAGAATGGTTTGAAACAACCAGCAAACAACAAGGACCATTATAAAAGACATTCAAGAAGTCCTAAAATAGGTAATTATGAGTATAGAGCAAAAGTTGAGACCATAAAAATCCAGATGAATATTTAAAAAAGAAAAGAGAAAGCTTAAAGAAAAAAAGTGTTATGATAATAAGAGCTAACCTTTGCATAGTACTTACTCTGTGCCATGCACTGTTTTGAGTAATTTACAGATATTAATATATTTATTTCTACAATAATGCTAGAAAGCAGGTACTTTCCTGATTTTATACACAGAAAAAGTGAGGAACAGCAAAGTTGCAAATAAGAGCTGGATTTCCACACCAGGTGCTCTGGCTCAGAGGTCACATTCTTAACTATTAAGAATACTAATTCTAACCTTAATGAAATAACATTTCACAACTTTTTGGATGATTCTTAATAATAATAAAAAACAGAAAATAAGAAGTTACTATGCTTTGAATGTTTGTATCCTTCCAACATTTATATGTTGAAATTTTAACCCCAAAGGTGATGGTATTTGGAAGTGGGGCCCTTGGAAGGTGATTAGGTCATGAGGGCAGAACCCTCATGAATGGCATTAGTTCCCTGATGAAAGAGTTCCCAGAGGGATCCCTTGTCCCTTCTGCCATGTGAGGTTACAGTGAAAAGATGGGTGTCTAGGAAATGGGCTTTCACTAGGTACCACATCTGCTGACCCCTTTGATCTTAGACTTCCTAGCCTCCAGAACCATAAGAAATACATTTCTGTTATTTAAAAGCCACCCAATCTAGGGTATTTTGTTATAGTTGCCTGAATGGACTGAGACACAAGTTGAGACTCTTGCACATTGCTGGTATGAATGTAAAATGGTACAGACCTATGAAAAACAGTATTATGCTTCCTCAAGACATTAAATGTAGAATTACCGTATGGTTTAAAAATTCTTCTTCTGAGTCTATACCCAAAATAATTGAAACATTATATTTTCAGATATTTGTACACTCATTTTTATAAAATTATTTATAATAGCCAAAAGGTTGAAGCAATAGAAGTGCCCATAGACTGAAGAATGGATAAGCAAGATGTAGTGTATACACACACACACACACGCGTGCGCACACACATGCACATGCACACACACGCACACACACATGCGCAGACACACACACACACCACATAATAGTCATGGAATACTATTTGGCCTTAAAAAGGAAAGAAATTCTGACACATGCTACAACATGGATAAACCTTGAAGATATTATGCTAAGAGAGATAAGCCAGTCAAAAAAGGACAAATATCGTGTAATTCCACTTATTTGCAGTACTAGAGTAGTCAGATTCATAGAGAAGGAAAGCGGAATGGTGGTTGTCAGGGACTGAAGAGAGAGGGGAATATAGAGTTAGTGTTTAGTGGGTACAGAGTTTCAGTTGAGAAAGACAAAAAATGTGTGGAGTTAGATAGTGATGATACTTTTATCATACGATAATGCGAACGTACTTAATGGCGTACAATTGTATACTTAAAAATGGCTAAAATAGCAAAATTTATGTTGTATATATTTAACCACAATTTTTTAATAAAAGAATACTGCCCTGCTGAATTTAATTGGGTGCTATGAGAATTTAAAGGTTAAAAGACACAAATAGTGACTGAGAAAAACAGTCAAAAACAGAAGGAATGAAAATGTAGGTTATCTATATTTATGGGGATAGCATATATGTTTCCAATTTCACTTTTATTCTGTTACAAAGTTAAGTAGAATAGTAAATATTAAACAAACAATTTTAGAGTAAATCGCAGAAATAGAATAAATTTTTGTCAAAACTTATAAATGAGGGTGCATGTTGTGGTTTGAATGTATTCCGCCAAAGTTCATGTGTTGGAGACTTAATTTCCAATGCAGCAGTGTTGAGACATAGAAGCTTTAAGATGCCCTTAGGTCATGGGGGTGCTGCCCTCATGAATGGATTAATGTCATTATCACAGGAGTGGGTTAGTTATGGAGGGAGTGCACTCCTGATAAAGGATGAGTTCAGCCCCCTTCTGTCTCTCTGCATGCTCTCTTGCCCTTCTACCTTCTACCATGGAATGATGCAGCAAGAAGGCCCTCACCAGGTGTATGCCCCTTAACCTTGGACTTCCCAGACTCCAGATCTGTAAGAAATGTCTCTTTTCTTTATAAATTACCCAGTTGCTGATATTCCATCCACAAAATGGACTAAGACAGTGCAATTACTATAAACTGCTCTAAGAGAAACACCCTGAAATAGATGCCTTTAAGTAAATATTGCGGGTATTTTCTATGCCTCAGTCACCCTGTGCTATCTCATTAGGTATTACTGACCCCTCAGTACTAATGATACCTCATTTTCAGTAATTCTTTAATCACCATACAGGACATTATCCAAATTTGAATTTCATTATTTTTTGTCAACATATTTAGGGTAGAATATGCCATAAAGCACCTGAAACCAATACTTATATATAGTTTTTATCCCCAAAATTGAATATATAACATATGTCAGAAAAAAACAGGATAAAATGTCCTAACATGCCTATTATACTTTGCTGTCTCCTTGTCCTTAAAAGTAAAAATCTGGAACATCTCCAGTGACTTTTGGCACATTGTTTTATATGTTACTTTTATTTTAGTTTATGTATGCAAGAAAATATAATGGTGTAAAAACATAATTTTTTGGATAAGATCTCAACTGTTTTATATTCAACTTCAGAAATATATTAATTTTCTGCTTTGAAGATATTTCCTTAAAAGTTTAGAAAAATGTTTAATATAGTTATCTCTTAATAGGAAGAAAATTTAAACAGTAAATTTTACTTAAATATTTTCATTTATTTTCTCATTTTTAATCTCAGCAAACACATACATGGTGAAAAGAAAATTTTATTGAAGACAAAATTAACTTGTAAATTGAGATATTTTCCAAGTGTGAATCACCTACTTTATCTAATATTAAAGTTTTGGTGCAATAATCTAACCACCTTCAAATTGCTGAACTCTTATTTTTATTATGATACTTGATATTGTCACAGCAAGTATACTGACTTTAGAGTATTAAATATTTTGCCTTGTAAAAATATTGTTTTATAGGAATATCCAGAAAGCTATAAAAGGCACTTAAAATAGAAACAGTTGATAACCATTGCAAGCTCAATTTAGAGCTTTCACTCTCTTACTCTACAGTGTAATAGACTTAAATCACTTCCCATACAGAAATTCACATTTGACAGTCAGTGAGCTATGAAGTTTCCCCACATATCACAATTACCGCAACACCTGGACTAAATTTCTTTGTGATGATGCACTATGATCGTACTGTAAAGTGTTAAACAGCTTTCAGAATCTCTCATTCCTTACTTTAAAAAAAATGAGAATTCCACTGGAGTTGTATTGCACTGTATTTCAGAAACTTTTCTAACTTTGATTTAATATCAACTGACTTAGGTTTATTACTCATAGAAAGACCCATCTACACATTTGCGTTTATAAATAGATATTTTTTTCTGATTTTCTGCTTTTATCTAGGGTATTGGATATATATCTAAAAACATACATGGATTTAGATTTGCTTTATATAATTGTAACAGAAGAGATCTCTGGGCATTTTCATTTTTGCCCTAAAGTAGTTTGAAACAACTATAATGACACAGAAAGAAAGTGTAAACCTTTGAAATGATGCAATTTATCTATTCTTGTTAATTAAATGTACACAATAATAATGATTAATATGTGTCAAGTACTTTTCTGAAAAGTCACATTTTTTAATTTATTAATCCATGATAATCCTGTGAAATAGTTATTAGTATTATCCCCATTCTATGGATGAAGAAACTTATATAACTTGCTCACATCAATTAAGGAGCAAAGCTGGGATTTGAACCTAGAAGTCTAGCCCCAGAGTTGGTGGTGTTACCTGTAATTTGGAAATATTATAAGATGGAAATATTATAAAAGGGTCATTGTGTACTCTTTGTAACATTTTTCTGATTAGTATATAAGACACTTTTCTCTAAAGCCTGCTCTTTACAGTCGAGGGCTCTGTGTCTTTCCTAATGAACAAAGCAACAGGTGAGAGGAGATGTGCTATTTACTGACTCAGCCTTGCTTTATCAAAGGGATGATAAAATTGAGTGCAGGAAGCGGTCTTCTTCTGAATCACTGAATTTATTGAGAGATAAACAAAAGGGAAAATAGAAAAACTTCTTTTACCTATACTCGAAGGAAAATAACACTCAGAAACAAAGAGCACAGACAAAACTTGTAATTATAGAGCAAAAGGAAGTCATTTGTGAATTATTTGGATTAAGCCTCACTGATGTATTGAAATATTGGATAATTCATTGTTTAAAACCCTTAGTCTCCTGTGTTTTACAACTTGAACTCAGAAGTGTGTTCTTTTCCTTTATAATGGCAATACTGTTTCAAATATATAATTATATGAAATGCTTATCACATGACTTGGGCCCAAAGAAAGAAAGAGAAGGAGAAAGAGAGGGATGGGGTGGGTAGGAAGGAAGGAATAAAAGAAGAATGTGACTTGCCTAGTGACTTTTTGGTCAGACACTTACTAGCTATCTATTGGTTATAAAAGGCCCTCTTTCTAAGTGTCTAGGCACTTAGGACACAATACTGGTCAAGACAGGTACAGGTTCTGTTTTCATGGATCTCACAGCCTTATTTTAGGCAGGCACACTTCCTAAAACATAGAATAAATGCTTCTGGATCAGACAAGCATAAAGTAGTGTAGGGAAGAGAAAACAGAAAACATAGGGTAGGTTAAAAAAATAGACAGATGGGGTGCAGCGAGGGTCTTACCTTAGATTGGGGAAAAGCTAAACCAAGATTTAGTCAGAAAAAGGAAAGCCGAGGGCAAAGAGAACATTCCAGACTAATCAATTGGGCTGTAAGGAGAAAGCCAAACCTTACTTGTATGTCACAAAATATATAGAGCACACTTATTTTTACTTATTTGTTTTGGTAAAATGTTAAATAAAAGTAACAGCTACTGTTTTTCTGTGCTTTTATCTTCCATGCAACTTCTGCCATCCACCTTTATTTTCTCCTCATTAGCAAATGTTAAGTGTTTCTTTTTTCCTTAAATGTGAAGCACAAGTTAAAATAAAAACCATAGATTATGAATGTGTTTTTTACAAAGGAAAATTAGATATTTGCTTTTGCCCAATATCTTATCATTGTGTTATTCCCTTTCTTCATCCAAATACAAACTCACAAAGGGCATTTGAAAAGAGTGGCTTGTGAATAAGGCAAACAGCAGTTCTGCTAAATCCCAGTCTTACCAAGTGATCTGCTTTGGTACTCTAGGCTCCTACACATTTTTCTGACAGCTCCCACTTCAGTGTCCACCACCACCCTCTGAACTTCCCAGACATGGCTTTCCTGGTTGTGACTATCAACCAGCACATTTCTGCAACGTAAAAACACTCGGGCTTTCTAATGCTTGAACAAGCAGCTGTTTCAAGACCCTTGTATGACACATTTTTGCAATATTAGCAAGTTTAAGGGATTTGACTACTTTCCTTATTAGTGGCTGCCACTACTGACTTTGGCTTTTGGGACTGTAAGGGAAGAAAAACCATTATTTTTCCTCTACCTATTTTAGGTTCTTTCACTGAGACCCCACAAATTAGACTGAAAAAAGACAGATTAACAAGAAAAAATCAATCCAAAGTTTATTACTGCATGCATTGCACGTATACACAGAAGTACTCGTATACACAGAAGTACTCGTATACACAGAAGAACGCGTAACTAAAGAGTTACCCCTTTTAGTAACTCAAAGTAGTGGTTAGAACTTGGGGTTGAATGGCATTTTAGCAAATAAAGGTCTGTAAAGAAGTAACAAGACAATGGAAAAGGATTGGAATTCTAGGGGCTGCAAATTGTGGAAAGATAAATATGTGGGGGAACTAATAGAAGATAAGGGTTGGGTTTAGCAAGGTTTGTTAAGCAGTTTCTTCTGGTGCCATCTCTGGGTTGATAAGCATCTACAGTTGTTGACTCTGGTGCTTAGGAATTATCCTGCCCTTCTTGGTAGAGAGGAGAACAGATCTTCTCTACAAGAATAATTTTTCTTGTGCCTGCTTTTATTTTTTAATTGCTGCCAGCTCAAAATAATCATTATGCCAGGTTGGCATATTCTGGGATGGCATACACTGAATACCTTCAAGATTTTATTTTCCCAGATTAGACTGTGGAATGGAATGCTAATTTCTCAGATCAACGATCCTCACCTCATCCTTGTTGACTCTGAAAACGATCACACAGACCCTGTCATGTATCCTTGTTTCTTTCTCTCATCACTTACCATAATCTTTGTGTATTTTTGAAAACTGTGTTTGCCTGTTTGTTTTCTGTTTTGCTCACTATAATGCACATTTGATAGATCAGGAATCTGATCTGCCTTGTTTACCTCTGAATCTCCAGAGTCCATAATAGATGGTATTCAAATTTTTGATAAATTAATGTATTTATAATAAATTAATGTCTGGATTAATAATTGATTACTCAATAAATTAATAAAGTATATTTATATCTTCTCCCTTAGCCCAGTGCTTAGCATAATATATATAATTTACTAAATGATTAAAAGTTTCAAATAGACTGATGGAAATTACTACCATAAAACAACCAAATATAAGTAAAAGCAAACAAACATATAACACTTAAACATATTTAATTTTAATAGTATTTCAATATTAATTTTAAAATATTTAAAGTTTGAAAAATTTTAAATATTTAAGTCAGGTTTTTATTTTAAAATGTCTAGATAAATAACTCAAGTCTTTGTAGAATTTTTTATGAGTCGGAACTCACTTTTTGTTTTTGTCATTTCATCATTAGGGACCTATTTCCTCTTCTGAGAATTCAATTAAGGTGGAAAAATTTGGGCAGTTAGCATTACTCTATGTGTCAACTTATTTTATCATCTCAGTGGCACATGTGCAGAATTGCTTCTTCTATTCTCCTAGAAAAGCAATGTAAAGTTCTACTCGAGGGAAAGTTCTTCCTTCTTCGGGTGTCTAACATCAGGTGCATCCTGGGCTCACCACCTTGTGGTAAAAGTTCCAACAGTCCCATGGGTGTTTAGAATATCATCCAGAGGATCTGAGATGGTTGCTTCTAGCATTGTACTGAAGAGAGATAATGGCTCTATCAACCTCACTCATCAATATTGTCACTGAATTTATTTGTCATATAACAGCCCAAGGCATTATTGCTATCAGAATAACAGGAAAACATATTTTTGACTGAGTTGAATTAACTGGGGAACTTTCCTCATTACTACTGGTAAATTCTTCTTAAACTGGCTATCATTTATGTTGGATCTTGATACCTAAGTTGCTGGTGAACTAAGATGTTCTAATTAGTTATTCCACATGGAAATAATATGGGTTGTCCTCATAATATTGACCACGAGTACTAGAACTCACCCTATTAGGAGTTTCAACACAGTAGTTTCTTACATTTCCTCAGATAGCCTCATAGGATACAAGAAGGTGGGCATATCCTTCCTTAATAATTTCATTATATTTAGGAAAATCTGAAATATAAGGCAGAAATTGTTTTTTTAAAAAAAACTTTTAAGTTTAAGGATAAAAGTGCAGGATGTGCGGGTTTATTACATAGGCAAACATGTGTCACCAGAGTTTGTTGTACAGATTATTTCATCACCCAGGTATTAAGCCTAGTATGCATAGTTACTTTTCCTAGTCCTCTCCCTCCTCCCATTTTCCACCCTCCAATAGGCCACAGTGTGTGGTGTTCCCCTCTATGTGTCCATGTGTTCTCAGCATTTGACTCCCACTTATAAATGAGAACATGCTGTATTTAGTTTTCTGTTCCTGCATTAGTTTTCTAAGCATAATGGCCTCCAGCTCCATCCATGTCCCTGCAATGGACATGATCTCATTCTTTTTTATGGCTGCATAGTATTTCATCATGTATATGTGCCACATTTTCTTTATGCAATCTCTCTTTGATGGGCATTTAGGTTGATTCCCTGTCTTTGCTATTGTGAATAGTGCTCAATGAATATACGCATGTATATGTCTTTATAACAAAACTATTTATATTCCTTTGTATATATACCCAGTAATGGGATTGCTGGGTGGAATGGTATTTCTGTCTTTAGGTCTTGAGGAATTGCCACACTGTTTTCCACAATGGTTGAATTAATTTACACTCCCATCAACAGTCTATAAGCATTTCTTTTTCTCCACCACCTCACCAGCATCTTTTATTTTTTGACTTTTTAATAATAGCTATTCTGACTGGTGTGAGATTATATCTTATTGTGGTTTTGATTTGCATTTCCCTAATGATCAATGATGTTGAGCTTTTCTTCATACAGTTGTTGGCTGCATGTATATTTTCTTTTGAGAAGTGTCTGTTCATGTCCTTTGCCCACTTTTTCATGGGGTATTTTTTTCTTGTAAATTTCTTTAAGTTCCTTATAGATGCTGGGTATCAGACCTTTGTCAGATGCATAGTTTGCAAAAATCTTCTCCCATTTTGTAGGTTGTCTGTTTACTCTGTTGATAGTTTCTTTTGCTGTGCAGAAGCTCTTTAGTTTAATTAGATTCCATTTGTCAATTTTTGCCTTTGTTGCAATTGCTTTTGGCATCTTCAACATGAAATCTTTGCCTGTGCCTATGTCTTGAATGGTATTGCCTAGGTTTTCTTCTAGGGATTTTATATGTTTGGTTTCTACAGTTTGGGTTTTTATGTTTAAGTCTATAATCCATCTTGAGTTAATTTTTGTATATGGTTCAAGGAAGAGGTCCAGTTTTAGTTTTCTGCATATGGCTAGCCAGTTGTCCCAGCACCACTTATTGAACAGGGAATCCTTTCCCTATTGCTTGTTTTTGTCAGGTTTGTCAAAGATCAAATCATTGTAGGTGTATGGTCTTATTTATGGGTTCTCTATTCTGTTCCATTGGTCTATGTGTCTTTTCTTGTAACAGTACTATGCTGTTTTGGTTATTGTAGCCCTGTAGTACAGTTTGAAGTCAGGCAGTGTGATACTTCCAGCTTTGTTCTTTTTGCTTAGGATTGCCTTGGCTATTCAGGCTCTTTTTTGGTTCCATATGAATTTTAAAATAGTTTTCTCTAGTTTTGTACCAAGATCTGGCAGAGATACAACAACAACAACAACAAAAACTTCAGGCCAATATCCCTGATGAACGCTGGTGCAAATATCCTCAATAAAATATTAGCAAGCCAAATCCAGAAGCATATCAAAAACCTTATCCACCATGATCAAGTTGGCTTCATTCCTGGGATGCAAGATTGGTTCAACATATGCAAAACAATAAATGTAATTATCCCATAACAGAACTGAAGAGAAAAACCACATGATTATCTCAATAGATGAAGTAAAGGACTTCAATAAAATTAAACGTTTCTTCATATTAAAAACTCTCAATAAACTAGATATTGAAGGAACATGCCTCAAAATAATAAGAGTAGTACATGACAAACGCACAGCCAATATCATACTGAATGGGCAAAAGCTGGAGGCATTCTCCTTGGAAACCAATACAGGACAAGGATGCCCTATCTCACCACTCCTATTCAACATAGTGTTGGAAGTTCTGGCCAGGGTAATCGGGCAGGAGAAATAAATAAAGTGCATTCAAATAGGAAATCAGACTCTCCCTGTTTGCGGATGACATGATCCTGTATCTAGAAAACCCGACTGTCTCAGCCCAAAAGCTTCTTAAGCTGATAGGCAACTTCAGCAAAATCTCAGGATACAAAATCAATGTGCAAAAATCATTAGTATTTCTATACGCCAACAACAGTCAAGCCAAAAGCCAAACCACGAATGGAATTCCCATTCACAATTGTCACAAAAAAAATAAAATTCCTAGGAATATAGCTAACAGGGAAGGTGAAAGATCTGTACAAGGAGAACTACAAACCACTGCTCAAAGAAATCAGAGATGACACAAACAAATGGAAAAACATTCCATGCTCATGGATAGGAAGAATCGATATTGTTAAAATGGCCATACTGCCTAAAGAAACTTATAAATTCAATGCCATTCCCAATAAACTACCAGAAATTCTTAATACCAGGTGTATATAATTCAGGTAAAAGTCAATATTCAGTATTGACATAGGAAGCTAACTATCAAAATTAAAGAATAAAAATTAAGAATTTCTATATTGATATGTAGAATAAACCTACATAGGCTTTTCTGACACTGTGCTTTCTATTGTCTTTCCCATTAGTCTGTGATTTTCTATTGTTCTCATGGAGACACTCATTCTCAGAGGGCAGCAATAGATTATGGGGTTCACTATCTTAGCTGTTTGTTAGTGGGCATCATCTATTTTCATCTGTGGCTCACCTTGTGAATTTTATGAGACATAAAAGGTACATCAGTTTTTGTTTTTGTTTTTATGTCTGTAGCTGCTTTTCTCTTTCTCTCTCTATTCCTGGAAATCTGCTCCACCTACCAGTTGGCATATCATTTCCCAACTCCACTGGTAGCCTATTCTGTTTAAGCAAAGCACAGATTTATTTCATCCTGACATATCCCATAAGAATATATGACTATGATGGCTTCTATTTTAAGATTTTATTTTTTATTTTTGCTATTTTAGAGACGCAGAATCTCTTCTTTGTACAGCTTGATTTTGATGAATCTTAATGAGATAACTTTTTGTGCAGGACTGTGGGTACATTTTCTGTTGGGCATCAAGACTAATAGCAATGTTTTTTTGTTTTAATAAGCCTGTTTGCCAATTTTTTTGGGGGGGAATAATAGAAAATGAATTACATTTGTAAAAATTTTGGAATGCCATTTGTTATTGCTTCTCAGTGTTTACTAAATAATATTTTTGGCTTATAGTTGTCAAGAGATGTTAAACATGTTGCAATGGAAATTAATTATCTGATATTTTGAGATTTTACATTCAGACTTGATGTAAAAAAATGAGCCCGAAAACAAAAATTATAAAAATGTAACTGTAAAAATTGTAAGCCTGAAAGTAGAAATTAAGTGATCAAGAATTTTTGGTAATAAATATTTAAATAAACTTATCAGGAATAAAAAGTTACATAGCATTTTCTCTAATAATATTTTAGCAAACCTTTAAAACTCTAAATTGGAACATAAATATTTATATTACACATTTGTATAAACATAGGTTTAAGAAAACATGTAATTAAAATATCTTAATCTCTCTGAAATACCTGAATAAATGATTAATAATAAATCTGTTAAACACACTTTATTTGTAGACAGTGGACAAGTTTGCCACTGCTATCAAAATTTATGTTAAAAATAATAATCATTGAAAAAAGTTCAGTTTAAGACATCAAAATTTTATCACATTTTACTCATTACTTTTTTAGCCGTATTCTGCATTATTTAGTTTCCAGCACAGCAGAAACATTTCAATACTACCTACAAATACTCTTTATACCAATACAGGTCTCTTATATTCTTGGAGCTGAAGCTTTTATTTGTTGCTCAGATGAAATTTCATTATCATGCTGTGAGAGAGAATTTGGCTTGTGTAAATTGAGAGAAAGCTTCAATAGACATCGCTTTAAACACAGATTTTCTTATACAGTAAATTAAAACTTATTTTTCATAGGAAAGTCATAATCACTGGAATTTCTTTTCTGACTATGTGTGGTATAATACATTGAAATGTCAAAAGTTCAAAACCTCATATATACCTGTGATATAAAACATTTACTACCTTGAGGGAATTAAAAGGCATGTCTTCCTCTCTTTAGAGTTTAAGACAATTGTCATATTACTCATAATTTTCATAGTGAAACCTTCTTTCATTAGGTGGTGGTTTTTTATTGTCACATTTAATCTATTAGTTGTCAAACATTTTTGCTAAAATGTTTTCAAAAATGATATAACCCCTCATAGTTTTTCATTCTGACACTTAAATTTTATATTTAAGTCATTGCCAAGATAAAACTTCTGGGGTGTTGTGTATTATATCTATGCTTCAAATATATTTTCATCACAGTCTTGGAGGTACAATTTACTGCATTTAATTTGTGGACATTATACGGCAATTTATAGTCTTTGTTATACAGAGCAGCCAAATAGAATTACTCCATCTGAAAATGTGTGGCTTTATTATTAAATTTGAATTTATGTGTTAATATGTATTACTGGGGAAACAATCTCTTTTCCTGAATGCTAACTCTAAATAGAGAGACTGTTTATGTATATAAATAGAATGCCATCCTAACTTTGTGGCATTTGAGAAATGTGAGGCCTATACTTTCCATTTTTTTTAATAAGCTATTTGTTTTATTCTCACAATACTCACCTTAGAGCAATGCATTCTTACAATACACCTTTGTTTAGTTCCCTGGAGGTAGTTAGAAAGATCATTCTGTCTGCATTATAGAAAATAAATGACAGTAAAGATAATACCAGAGCTAGTAAAACAATTGGGTGGATGCTATAGCAATGCAGGCGAAAGAGGTGATGGCCCTGACATGAACAGGACGGTGACGATGGGAAGAAATAGACATACCTAAGAAATATATGCAAAGCATGATAAACAGAATGTATTGATTGCTTGGATGACTCTATTTTACCTTCCAGCGTCCTGACTTGAGAAACTGAAAGATTGATGATGATGTTTACCAAATCAGAAAACACAAGTGATGCCACTGGCCTGGCCAATAGGAAGAAGAGATGATGAGTTCAGTTTGGGAAATAGTTTTAAGGTCCTTTGTGGCATCCAAGTCCAGAGCTAAGTAGATCATAAATTGTATAAGTCTGAGCCTCAATATATCTCAGAGGTAGGAGGTCAATATTTCTCCTCCAGTTAAGCAATTTCTGAAATCAGCTATTCATAATCTTTACTTGATTAATTATAAAGATAGTCACATTGGTCCTGATTACACACTTGTATGATTCCTCTGCTACCTACTATTCAACATATTTAACTCAATTTCTATTAAACATCAAATTGAATTTATTCATTTATTCTTTCATTCTTCTTTAATAACCTTTTTGGGGAAAATATATGGACCGAAAATTACAGAAACCATGCACATATCACTCAACAAATTCCCTCAACCTGAATACATTTAAGTAAACAATTGCTCTTCAGAGCAAGAAATAGAATACCACCAATATTACAAAAGTCCTCTCATAGCCCATCTCAATCACTTCCATCTCCTCAAAAAAGTAACCCATATCCTAAGTGCTAACGTTATAAATTTACCTGTTTTCTTGTTCTTTGAGCTTCATGTTGTGGAGAGCCATTTTGGAACCCCAGAGTTAGTACGAAGTTTATTTTAAGCTAAATACAGCCAAAACTTCAACAAATGCCAAAATAGTCCTTCTCAGAGCTTTTCTTATCTGACTTAAAGGGGCAATATTGTGAAATCAAGCTACCACAAATTTCCTCTCTGGGATAGTTTAATGGCCATGAAGATGAGAGAAAGACCACTGACATCTGCATAAACAACGTTTTTTATTTCCAGTTTGTTCTAAAAATCTATTTATCTTTGCTAAAGAAACCTATTTATTATTCCCATAGAAGAATTTTCTCCTTCTCCGTTTCTCTACCAAATTAGGTGTATAAACCTCTAACTTTAGCCATTTAGCCAGCTAGCTATTTCTTTAGTAGCTCCATATGAATATGAATAAACATTTTTAAAAAAATCTTTTAAATCTATCTTTTGTCTGTTTAATTTTCAGGTTTCCATCATTGAACATAGAGGGTAGAGGGAAAGTTTTTTTTTTTTTAATCCTAACAATATAGATAGAATTATAAATTTTTTCTTTATATGTCTGGCATTTTTGCTTAAAATCATATTTCTGTGATTAATTTATTTTTATTGCTGAATTAAAAAATATTCTTTGTATGAAATCACAGCAATTTATCGATTCTGCTATAGAAAGAATTTTAGGTTGTTTCATTTATTCATAGTTCATCAATGTGCATACCATGTATTTATTGAGTACCAATTTTGCCCCGCTATACTAAGATAAAAAATACATATAAGACACAGTTCATGCTCTCAAGGGACTTATACTCCAATAACAGGAATAAAAGATAAATAAATATAACCAGTGCAAATAATATGAGATTGTTATGGACAAAATAGAATATACTAGGGCAAAGAAGAATTTTGCTTAAGAAATGAGATCAAAGAACAACTGAGGAGTAAGAGACCTTTGATCTAGAAGCCTGAGCAGGCAGTGGATAGAGGAGATAGCATGTGTAAATAAATTTAGGAGTAAAAAAATGGCAGGATTATGAACAGTAATTCCAAATGCACTGTTTCTGTTTTTGTCATTTTACTTTTTCTGTTTTTTTTTTTGTTTTTTTTTTGTTTGTTTTTGTTTTTTTAATGGAGTATTGTTCTGTTGCCCAGGCTGGAGTGCAATGGAGCAATATTGGCTCACTGCAACCTCTGCCTCCCGGGTTCAAGCGATTCTCCTGCCTCAGCTTCCCAAGTAGCTGGGACTATAGGCATGCACCACCATGCCCGGCTAATTTTTGTATTTTTAGTAGAGACAGGGTTTCACCATGTTGGCCAGGCTGGTCTTGAACTCCCGACCTCAAGTGATGCGCCCGCCTTGGCCTCCTAACATGCTTGGATTACAGATGTAAGCCACCGCCCCCGGCTTGTTGTTTTTCATAGAGAAAGGGTTTTGCTATGTTGCCCAGGCTGGCCTTGAACTCCTGGGCTTTAGCAATCCTCCCATCTCAGCCTCCTGAAATGCATATTATTTTTAAAAATGTGATTATATGGTGATGTTGATGATGCTTCAAATAAAGTTTAGAACCAAATAATGAAGTTAAGAGTATTTTTTATTCAGATTTTTATTTTTAAAAGGATGGATTTTTTTTTTGTAGTGATGAATGTTACTATAGAGAATACAATTGATGGAGACAAGGGAAAAACATAAGAAACCAATGCAAGAGTCCTATCAAAAGATGTAGATGGGAATAGAGGAGAGGTGCTAAGATAAGGAATAAATGGAATTTGAATTTTGATTGATGGAGGACTCAAGTAGTTTTTCAATTTTTTAGCAAATAATGTTAATCTCAATATCTAGGCTGAGGAGAACATTTTGCACAAAAAATACTAAGTTCAGCTGTGCATTTGTTGAGTTTGTGTTGGTAGAATTATCTAATAAGCATTTGTTCCCAGAGTTCTGGAATTTAAATTACCAGTGTTAGTGAATTTTGTGGTAGGAATACAATAATACAAAAATTGAGGGAAAAAATGGCAAGGAAAAAAATTAAGAGTTGGTCCTGGGGACTATGAGAACTTAAAGCAGAGAAGGAGGAAGCTGGACTATATGCATTCCTTTAGTTGCATATATTTTTATAGTCTGTTTTGATTATATGTCATCATTATCCATCACAGATTATTTAATTTTGTATATAACAAGAGCCAAGAATAATTATCTCTACAGTATACTTAACACTACACTACATAGTGTGTATTTGCAACCTATAAATATTTATTCTCATGATAACTAATCAATCTGTTTTTTTTTTTCTTTTTCTTTCTGACATTAGATGAACAAGTGCGAATCCATCATTCTTCTCAGGTTCTGGAAAAATGCTGGTTTTCAGCTCCTGGAAAATTCTCACAAGACATCTGTTTTGTTTTATATCTTCATTTGTTTCCATTCATCTTTCCTACTGTAGACACTGTCTATGATTTTTTTGTGTGGGGGTTTTGGCAAAGTGCATACGATTACTTTGAATTTAGAGAATTAAATTGTATTTATCCACTGAAAGCTGTTTTTAAGATCTAGCTGTGTTGTCACTTGGATATCTAGTTTATTACTTCTACTTGCAAAGTAGTACAATGAGATACCAAACCACCATATTTTTTCCATCTATTTTCTCAATTATGGACACTTTTCAACTTATTACTACAGTAGGGAAGTTAAAGGCTATTTGAATTATTGGAGAATAGAGATACCTAGGATCAGAATTACCAAGTCATAGACCGAAACTTTGGCTAAGACCTAAACTTAATATGGGTAAATATTGTTACATTGCTCCCTAGAATATTGATATGGTTTGGATTTGTGTCCCCACGCAAATCTCATGTTGAATTGTAATCCTCAATGTTGGAGGTGGGGAATGGTAAGGGGTGATTAGATCCTGGGGCAGATTTCCCCCTTTGCTGCTGTTCTCCTGATAAGAGTTCTGACAAAATCTGGTTGTTTTAAAGTGTTTGGCACCTCCCTGTTCTCTCTCCTCCTGCTCCAGCCATGGGCATTGAGGCTCCTTTGTCTTCCTCCCTGATTGTAAGTTCCCTGAGGCCTTCCCAGAAGCTGATGCCAGCATGCTTCCTGTACAGCCTGAAGAATCATGAACCTAGTAAACCTCTTTTCTTTATAAATTACCCAGTCTCAGGTATTTCTTTAAAGCAGCGTGAAAACGAACTAATATAAATATCTTAAGCAGTGTTTAGCCCTTCCAGAATTCTCTAAGTGGTGAAACCAGGGGACACTCTTAAAGGAAAAGACAAATATAAGCACAAAATAAAATATAAAAATAAATACATGTTTAAAGAAAAAAAGAAATCACAACAAATTTCTATTTAAGCATAGTTGACGAACATAAGAATATCATGCCATCCACGAAAAAAATATTATTTAACTACCTAACATATTCATAAAACACTTTTTTCCTAGTTTTAAAAAATGTATTACTTTTAAATTTCTTGTTTATATGGCAATAATTTTGAAATATCATCTGTAGGTAATGGAAAGATCATTAAACCATCCTTTACTATAGTTGAGTGAAATTAGTTATTTTTATGATTATTGATAGTTGAGGTGTATAAAGCACAGGTGTCTCGATTTTTTTAATACTGGTACACATTGTTTCTTGAAATTTTCACAAATTATATTTCACTTAACTCTTATCAAAAGCTTATGAATGATATGTTTGTGATAGTAAACACTGCATTATGGATTACATTTTGCAAGAGAACACTCTCTTTTGATGACGTGTCAATGAAAACAAAATTCTTCCTTTATTATTTTACATGTTTAATGATTGAGATAATATTACACAGAACTGCTTCTTGCTTGCACTTTTAAATACGTGTTTCTTCTTCATATCCTCATACTTTTAGTGCTTGATGTTTTAGGACGTATTTACATTGTGATAAGACCTTTGGGCTGACATCATCATGTTACGATACTAGGTAGGGAGTAGGGTATTCCTGGAGCCATTTCTACATTGGAATGAGTAGCACCAACTTAATTATATATTAAGTTATGATTTTTGGCTATATAGTCTTTGACCATTTATCCATATGACAATAATTTGTAATATAATTTTCTATAAAGAATATGGTATTATAAATGCAAAATATATTCAATGAAATCCAAAATAAATGTATCTTCTTCAACTTAACTTTGACTTGCTCAGATACCAAAAATATATGCAGCTTCTCCAATAGTATTTGACACAGGGCAAGTGTGATAGCAAATGCTCTACCTACTGGCTGGTTACAAGTTCTAAATTTGGGAATGGAGTGATGAAAAGAAACCATCTCCAAGATAATGAGATCTGAAGAAAATTATGACAGGAATATTAAGAGTTTGTTTACCAGCCATCCTAAGAAATATTGAACATCTGATATTGCTAAGAATCCCATTATAAATTGTACAAAATGTTCAACAATGAAGGGACAGTTATTTGCTTTTTTGCAGTTAATTACTTGTATAATATAAATGTATGACTTTGCATAGCACAGTGTCTTAAAGCAAAACAATGTTCTTCCTGAAGAAACCAATGAAGATGAAATGTCACTGGTATGGTGTGCATTGTTTTTTTAAACTACATCCTAATTAATTAGGACATTTTCCACTTGAAATAGAAGCTACAGTTGTAAAAATATACAAATATACCTGTATATAATTCAAATGGTATATTATGTTGTTTTTATCACGATTTTCACTCTTAAATGCATCTTGACTTTGATGAGAGAAGTGATACAAACATATTAGTGAAAAATAATAAGCAACAAACAAACCAAAATATGAACAAGTGAAAATGGTACTCTTCATCATGTTCTACTAAAAATTCATGTTCCATTATCTAATGGTATTTACTTCTAGTTACTCTCAATTTGCTTCAGATTTCAATGGTTGACTTTAGAGTTAAAGATGCCATTTCCTTCTCCTATAATCTCTAACACATCCAACGCTGGAACAGCAATATTTAATGGGGAACATTAAATACTTTGCCCTTGGCACAAAGTGGAGATGTCTCTTTGTACTAGTCCTGTGAACATATCAGCCTCCAGAACGAATGATGGCTCTATATTTCACATCTTACACAGTGATTTCCTGACTTATCTGTTATTTTACAGATTGTAAAACCAGTATTGTAGTTATGAAGATGAACTCTGGTCAATACATCAAAGACGTGAAGAAAATTAGGGTAGAACTATTAAAATTTGGCCCTCAGTCAAGCAAACAAATCTAACAAATATTTCACTTTCATTACTGCTTATGCATACACGGAATGATTCTTACTAAAAGTTGTAAGCAAAGGAAGATTGAATAGAATACAAACAAGTGTTACCTTCCAGATAGAAGTAACCTAGAGAAAATGACTTTTAGTACATTTGCTAGGTTAAAGTAATTTAAAAACTTGTGGGCCAGGCGCGGTGGCTCATGCCTGTAATCCCAGAACCTTGGGAGGCCGAGGCAGACTGTTCATGAGGTCAGGAAATCGAGACCATCCTGGCTAACACAGTGAAACCCTGTCTCTACTAAAAATACAAAAAATTAGCCGGGCATGGTGGTGGGCACCTGTAGTCCCAGCTACTCGGGAGGCTGAGGCAGGAGAATGGCGTGAACCTGGGGGGCAGAGCTTGCAGTGAGCCAAGATCGAGCCACTGCACTCCAGCCTAGGTGACAGTGCGAGAGAGACTCCATCTCAAAAACAAAAACAAAAACAAAAACTTGTTTAGGTCATTGTTTTCTTAGTTGAGGTTGATATCGAAAGTCACATAATAGTTTTTTATTTGTAGGTTGAAGTAAGGAACATAGATGGTAGAGAAAGAATAAAGATAACACAAATAATACAGGCGATGAAACAAGAAGTGTGCAACTGGCAATTAGCTAAAATCTTTGGCATGGTCTTGAAAAGATCCACTGAAATTCAGATTGACTTCAACGATTGCTATCTTATGTATGAAGCTGGTTTTGTACTTAGAGCTCCTGATCTCACTGTGAGACCCTCAGCACAGTGCCACCCACTGAGCATTTCATTGACCTAGCAATGAAGAGGCCCAACATCTCTGAATTAATGAGAATATCAGCTTGACACCTTTAGATAGATTAAAAACAAAATACCTCTTTAAAATATAGCCACAGCTTGAAGAATTAGAATGTAGTGCAGATAAATCCTAAGCCCCTGTGTTTTCCTTTAGTATGGGCAGTTAGTCCTGGTATAGATGGAAATTTCTCTTAGTAGGTAATTTAGCAGAATACCTAAGAATGCTGTATTTTATTATGAAATGATTGTAGCTGTTCCCCTTTAGTGATTAAACAGTGAATTATGACCCTGAGTGATAGTAAATTTAAAACTTGTTAACAGCTTTTAATCTTTTATAGGTTACTACGAAGAAGCAGTTCATGTGTGTGCATGCGTGTGTGTGTGTGTGTTAAGCAAATGATAAATCAGAGACAAATCAAAATAGATTTTAAATAGCTTTCACAATGTGAAAATGACAGGGATTGTGAGTGAATAATTTAATTAAGGTCCCTTTAAGAGGCACATAAGATTATGAATAGTTAACTAACAAATCATGCATGAGGCTCCATTTCCTTTCCTGGCATTGTGTGGTCACCTAAATACACTCCTCTAGTGTACCAACAGGTAACCAGGAGGAAAGGAGGCAACTTTTCAAGGTGCACCCATCAGGGCTCTGTACAGAAGGAGCCTTTCGTGTGTCTGTATTTAGTCAGGTCTCAACTATAGTCCTAATTGTAGTTCAAGGCTTACCTTTCCAATAACGCTCCTACCGAGCAGTCCAGACAGAGTATCAGATAGAAAAAGGAGTAGAATTGAAATCAGGATTCTGGGCAGGTTAAATCTGCTCTCCACCTCAAATATTTTAGGCCCTACACTTGAAATTAACTTTTATATTCATTTAGTTCAGTCAATTAAAGTCTGATTTTTAGATGAGCTGTCAGGATTACTAATTTGCACATCCAAGCTAGGTTTATATCATTCTTTCCTAAGACAACACTATTAAAATATAACTAAGTTTGCTATTTTTTTAAAAAAAGAGTTAAGTGTCAGCGTGTGGGAAAGCAGAGATCTCCAGCCAATTTCCTACATTAGTTGTAGTAACTAAAATTTTCAAAACAGTAATGAAAAATGTTATGCAGAATATGAAATGACAGCTACTGCCCAATACATCTATTTCATTTCTTCCCTTAATCTACTGACACTATCTTTACTTCCTTTTCTCCCATAACCTTTTAATCAACTTCTATTTAGCTTTGTCTCCATTACTTGATCGAAACAACTCTCCTCCAAGTTGCCTGACAATTCATGTTACAGACTCTAAATAATACGTTTTTATTCTCATCTGTTTGAGCATTTTCCCCTTCTTTATAAATAAACTGATCTTTTCTTCTGGAATGAGCAGTATCTTAGTTTCCTCCCATCTGTGCCTGTGCTAAGTGTTCAAGTTACTAGAGCTTGATTCGAAATTTTACTCTGTAACTCTGCTCTGTCCCTAAAATGTCCTCCTATATTCCAGTGGCATTAAATATAACCTATATGCTCACATTTCTCAAATTTACATTTTTATATCAAACTTCTTATCTTAGCAGTAAGCTCATATATTCAAATATCTTCTTATCATAGCCTATTGAAATTTCATTCAGATATCACAAATATACTATGCCCTAAGAAAAGCTCTTGACTCTATTCTTGACTATATTTTACTTTACTCTGAAATTTTTGCCTCTCATAGGCTTTGCCAGATCAGCAAATGCCACCACAATTAGCCAAACTGCTTAAGCCACAAAACTGAAACTCATACGGATTCCGCTACTCCACGCCCGCTAATATTTAATCCAACAGTGTTGCTTATAGACCTCAAATCTACTTTAAATCCCTCTGCTTAGCTCCAATTTGATTGCAATCAAGGTAATCCAAATCATAATCAGTTCTCCCCTAATAAACTGCTTTCTAATTGATCTTGCCATTTCCAATTTTACTTTTCTTAAACTAATTGTGCACATAGCAGCCAGCACAATGTTTTAAAAACTTAAATTAAGGCTTGCCTAAAACCTTTTGGTGGCATCTTGTTGTAGGTAGAATGAAACAAAAATGCCTTGGCACGTCCTACATAATCCTTTGTGATCTTATGCTACCAACTTCCCCTCCCTCCTTCCTTTCTCTCTACCTTTTGCACTCTGCACTCTAGCCCCATTGGCCTTTTTTTTCAAGTTTTAAAGCAAATCAAGCTCTCTCTCAGCTCTAGATCTGTGCATATTTTGTTTTTTTGTTCGTTTGTTTGGTTGGTTGGTTGGTTTGCTTGGGATGCTATTGTTTCTACTCTTAACATGTTTGACAGTTAGTTTTTGCTAGTTCATTAAAACTGAATGGGAAATTGACATTTTCAAAAAAAATTGCCTACCTATTTAGATGACGTTGAAACTACCAATCTATTTCATTTTAAGTGATGTTAGGTAGGTATTTTGAGAAAAAAAAAACAAAAACAAATTTCACTAGACTCTGGGCTGAAGAAATATTTTTTGTAACTACTATATAAAGTAGGTGAGCTGAGAATTATTATAAACATCAGAATTTTGAAAGCTAGAGATGAGTATAATAAACAAAAGGACATTGACGGTTCTCTGTTTCTATTCAGTATATAAGATGAATGTACAACGAAAAACCACAAAAGTCATTGCTAACTTTTTGAAAAGGTTACTGTCTGGCAGAGTTATAGAAAATTGTTTACTATTGATCTCTTTTCTTAGGAGAGCAAGAAGAAAAGGAAACAAACAAAAGGCTTTACTCAACCCTCGTATGTGTTTGCTCCCTTCCTTTTCCTTACCTTCCCTCTAATGATACATCTCTTACATTGGGCTTGAAATATACTAGTTAGTAATACAAAGCCTTTGCTAAATTCCCAAGGTGAGGGAAAGGCTGATTTTTAAGTCTGAATTATCAAAAGTGACAATTGATAAGCTGCAGTGAGGACCAATTTACCCAAAGATGGACTGGCACTAACTGAACATATAATGTTCTCCATCTGGGCTTTGGTACAGAAGGAGCCTTTCATGTGTCTGTATTTAGTCAGGTCTCAACTATACTCCTAGGTATAGTTCAGGTCCTAACTTTCCAATGACGCTCCTGCAGAGCAGACCAGCTGCTGTCTAAATTTCTGAACTATATTGCTTTGTTTACCAGTGTATAGCCAATTGACTGCCTTTTGCCTTATCTTTTTGAAAAATGATTTATGACTAAAAATTCTTCTTCCCCAGTGATATTCTAATTTCCTTGGGGGCAGCAATAATGTGTTTTCTTGTTTGTTTCTTAACATATCTTTTCTAATGCTACCCAGTCCTAAGCATTCATTTTATAATAGAAAGTATAATTTATTCAACAAAAGCTTATTGAGTTCTGTCATAAAAGTATAATGTATCATAGTGTACTAGGAATATACAGTGTTAATATACATTAAGCACTTAATATAAGCCAATTGTTGTTCTCTGTGTTTTACATTTAAAAACTCATTGAATTCTCACTATAAAGTTATGATGTAGTTACTGCTATTAACCCCCCTCAACTTACAGATCAAGAAACTGAGACCCAGTCATACTAAATAAGTTGTTCAAGGTCATGGAGCTTATAAATAATACAACCAAGATTTAATCCAGGGAATCTCACTGAAGATGTTTGTTATTAACTCCTTCATTCATTCAACCTACAGTCTTGTAAAGAATACAAACAACTGAATAAACAATTACAAGGAAATATAATTAACAGAGGATAGACAGTGTGCTAGAGAAGCATAGAGGAAAAGATTTAATGTAGACCTGTGGGCTCAAGGTCTATATATCCTCTCTCTGTTTGTATACACTCACACACACACATATATATATAAGGTGTGTATTTATAAATTACATCTTATATATAAATAATTTATATTAACATACTATATAATGTATATATTATAATATATATGTATTACATATATGTATGTATATAACGTATATACTATATTAGTCCTTATGGGTGATTTCGGTCTTTATTTTGCTACTTGCTTTTGCATAATGGCAGTTGTGCATTTAAGCCATTTAAAAATGAATTTGCAAAATAAACATCACTGTCAACAACCAAAACCTTATTACCTACATTTCCTACTAAATTCCTGAGAAAATAGGTTTTGATTATTTTACAGTGTAAAACATAAACATCCTTGTAATATTATACAAATAAACTCTTACAAAACAATAATCACCATTTGCTTACAAAGTCATATAACTGTTTGCCTTTTTGAATTCATAATCCTCTCCTGAAAGAAAAATATTCAAAAGTTCACCAGTAAAAAAAAATCCTCAAAATTTTTCCAAAGCATATTATTCTTTCAATGCAATTTTGAAATCTTTACAAGCACCCTGCAAAAGTAGCACTCAAAATATGTAACAATTGTACTTAATTTTCCAAGTCTGATCATTCCTACAATGCCTCAAAGAATTTGGCATATTTGGCATCTAGAAGAGGACCCAAAAGTTCACGCTCAACTTTTTTCAACATTCTTCGAACACAAGGAATAAATTATTCCACTCAGAGGTTATTTTCCTTACTCATTCATTACTTGTGTGTTAAGCGCTGACAAGAGAAAAGTGATTCGTGATTCTGTTGTCAAGGAATCCACAGACTAATGAAGAAAGATCCCCTGTTTTTGCTTACTTCTTTTCAAAAAAAAAACAGGTATGTTCCAAGTCTGGACCTCAAAGCTTCCAAATGCACCAGGGAGGAAAAACCTGATGTACAGTTATGAAGATATGATATGAAGAATGAGCCATAAATATACTATTAAATAATGTTCTGACCAGGACTACTGAATAACATAACTTCTGGAGACCTAGCCCTGTTGTTGCCTAGGTAAATAACACTCCCTGGAGTTGTACAATTCACAGCATGGTTAGTTACACCAGGCACCCCTGAGTAGGACTTCACTTTATGCTCCAAATACCAGTTTCAATGAGTTCATTTTAGAAACAAGAAAACATCAGACAAGTAAAGGTTATTCTTCCTAGCTTCAGAAGCAGCTGATTTTTCAACATAATAAAGAAAGAAAAGTCTCATCATGAAATTCAACATTTACATTACAGGCCATTAATGATTAGTTTAAAAGACTGTTTTCAAGTAGCCATGCATGCTGAGAGAAACGGAGCCAAAGTTCTGTGAATGATTTCATCTTGCTCTCCAATACAGCTTTTAATTATGAATACTTTTTAAAGTGCATTACATTAATTAGCCATTTACTCAGCAGGCTGCTTCTCAGGGCTCCTTCCAGCTCCCTTAACTCTGTGGCAGGACCTGGCAGTCACTACAGCAAGAGTACGACTTCAGATGTTCGGAAATGGAATTCAATGATCTTTTGCCAACATGAAGAAGATAGATATGAGCATAAGGAAAAAGGAAAGGAATGCATCGCTCTGCAAAACATTGTTTCATTTCTCAAACACAGAGGGAGGGCAGAAGGGAATAAATTTCATCAGGCTGTTTCTCAGGCTTAAAATGGAGGTTTCCAAAGCAGTTCTTTTTTTTTTTTTTCTACCATATATCATTACTTTAATATTATTTGGATAGGAAACTGATTTAACTCAATTGCCCTTAACTGAATTCAGGGCATTTTAGTCACGCAAACAGGAAAGAGAGTGGAGTAGCATGAGAGTTATTAGGGTTGAAGCAGAGACAAAACGTTCTATCCCCACAGCTGCCCAGTAGTACCCATACTTTTCCCATCCATAATTGCATTCCATCCACAGTTTTATTTGTTTCACAGAGACATAGAATCTTACATAGGAAGTTAACTTTCTAAAGCCATATCATATTGGGAATGCCTCACATTATCAAAGGCCCTATTGAAAATGCTGCACCTTTCTTCCCCAAACTATCTCATCTTAACTGTTATTTTAACCCCCAGTTTAGGAACCTAAAAGCCTTGCTTTGGAAACATTTTTCAATGGTATTCTCCTTACAGTACACAAGCATGAACTTGTTATAGGAAATTTGGCTTCAGAAAACAAACTAACTGTGGGGGAACCTGGAACCTGGGAAGGCAGGACTATTGCAGGGGCCAAACTGGATACCAACCGGCAGAACTTGGTGAAACAAACTTCAGCATCTCTCTTGTGCAGTTCCTGGCAGCCATCTTCACTACTGTCAATTTCTTTCTTTTGTATCCTCCTGTCTTGTTCTCCCTACGCAAGCAAGATAATACTTATAATGAGATGATGATACACTGCTTCCTCTAAAATACAAGATCCCCCTTTCCTGGTTTCATATTATAAAGTCATCCTAAGTAATTTCTTTATTTATAACCAGGCCTTCAGTGTGTGAAGCTCTGGTCTAGATATCACCCACAGAATTGTGTGGGTATGCACATAGCTCAGAAGGACATGCAGGTACAATCTCGGTATTTTTTTTTTTTAGATATGGTCTCACTCTGTCACCCAGACTAGAGTGCAGTAGTACAATCATAGCTTACTGCAGCCTCAAACTACTGGACTCAAGCGATCTTCCTGACTCAGCTTCCTGAGTAGCTAGGACTACAGGTGGACACCATCATACCTGGCTAACTTTTTAAATTTTTTCATAGAGACAGTGTCTCACTGAGTTTCCCAAGCTGGTCTTGAACTCCCAGGCTCAAGTGATCCTCCTACCTCAAGCTTCCAAAGCTCTGTGTGGGAATACAGGTGTGAGCCACCACACCCAGCCTCAGGAATTAAAAAAATATATATATGGAGTAATAAATAAGTTGAGAGCAAACAGTATATTGAGTATGTTTTCTCTTGCCAAATCATTTCAATTTGTGCCATATGCCATTTCCTGGAACCACCTTGCTCAGTTTGAAATTCCCAATATTTTCAGGATAGATTTCAGAAACGGACTGTTTAAATGACCCTGCTCATAGGTAGAAGGCAAATATACTGTGGCTGCATGGAGGGCTTCTCCACTCTGGGCCTGGAACTCAGATGTTCCCAGGAAGGGAAATCTGGTACAGAGCCCTCTGCATTGACAGTCCCTAATGTTAGCACTCAGAGCCCTTAAACAGACTAATCATCTCTATTCTGTGATTCCACATTGTTTTGCTCTAACCTGGTTAAACCAGAGACAAAAGAGAAGATATCCACCCACATCTTTGCTGTAGGTCTGAGCACAGGCAATAAGAGAAAAATCTCTTGTATGTGAAACGTGATAAATACTTTACGAAGGGCTTATTATTACACATTGGCATTTTATCTAATCCTCCAACAAATGTGGTAAGGAAGGATTAACTCCATTTTTAAGATGAGAAAACTCAGGAGCAAAGAACTTTGGAGGTTGGCTCAGGATCATACAACAACTAAGTTAGAGTCAAGGCTCAAACCTAAGTACTAGGTTTCTAAATTCAGTGTTCATTCACTTACTGCACCTCGTTATATTTACATAAAAATTAAGAGAATTGTATACCATTTTAAAGGCATCTTAAAAATTTCCTCATGATCCGAATGAAAAGCGGAGTTAGATAGCCCCCCAAAAGCTTGCGATTTACATATTTTCATGGGGAACTCTTTTTTCATTTAATATAAATGCTCAGAAATGAGAGAAGAGTCAAAGAATAGAGGGTAATTCTCTAGAATTAAAGAATAGGATTAGACTGATTTCTTTTTAGCCCACCAAAATATATCTTATGAACAAAGTGGCTGCTGACTTGATGATGAATTTATAGTGGTGACACACGCAAAGGCACACACATGTTTTGTCAAGCAAAACTAAATTAATATGGTCATCACAGTATACAGGGCAGTATAAATGAAGCTCACAGAGAATGTGCTTTGATTACTTCCAATATTTCTCTTTTCTAATTTCCTTATATTTTTGACTATGTCACTAATTTTTAAATTATCTTACTGCAGTTTTGAAATGACGATAAATATATCATTTTGCTTTAAAATTGTGTTAAAAAGATGTTATTGGATACCATGAATTCTTAAATGATCATTGTACACAAGGTTCTTCTTGTTTGTAAAATGTTTCTTCTTTAAAGGAAAAAGCTATCTGTTTTAAATAATCAATTTTACTGTATTCATATTTTAAACTCCAATGCTTTAGAAGTGGGTTTTAATAAATATAAGTTGACATTCACTGTGTTGTCTCTCATGGCTTTTAAATTTTATCTCCTCTGATTTCTTTTTGAGTGTTTTATAAAATTCTTCTTTTTACTCTAAAAATTCCCTTACATTTGCAAATATGTACAATCTTAAAAATACGTAGAACTAATAAAGAAATTTAAATCAAATCTCCTTTTCTTCACTGCTTTATCTCTCAAATTATCACTCTTTTTCCATCTGTTTATCAGCTAACATTGGAAATAGTTTCCATTTTTCCTTGCCTTTTCATCTTCCGTTTCACCAAGAGTACCACTGATACCTGTGGAATCAGGTGTTATGGCTGACTGCTTAACTAGCCCATGAGTTTTCTTCTTTCTTTGAGCTCTTCTTCTGTGATATCATCAACAGTCAACACATGGGACAAAGACTTCTAGATCTGAATCTTCAGTGCTCAACCCCTTCCTGCCATTTCTCTCTCTTTCTTACCGGCGATTGATTTACCACTAATAAATCTCACAAGACCACCCATATTGGCCTGCTTTTCTGAAACCGTTCAACATTTTTAAACTGAATGGCAGCAAACACTTACTGTGGGTCTCTATTTTCATTTCTCTCCCTTCTATTAGAAAGATAGGATTTCTCTTTCTAAAATGTAAATGTAAACATATATTCTTAAATTAAAATTCTCAATAATATTTCAAAAAGGAAGAAATTTAAAATATAAAAATGTCTGGCTGAGCACAGTGGCTCACCCTTATAATACCAGCACTTTGGGAGGCCGAGGCAGGTGGATCACAAGGTCAGGAGCTCAAGGCCAGTCTGGCCAACATGGTGAAACCCCGTCTCTACTAAAAATACAAAAATTAGCTGAGCGTGGTAGCACGTGTTTGTAACCCCAGCTACTTGGGAGGCTGAGACAGGAGAATTGCTTGAACATTGGAGGCAGTGGTTGCAGTGAGCTCAGATCGTGCCACTGTACTCCAGCCTGGGCTACAGAGTGAGATTCTACCAAAAAAAAATACAAAAAACAAAAAACAAAAAAAGTCTATAGGATAACGTTAAGTAAAAACATAGAGTAAAAATTCTGCATGCAGTATTAGAAAAACTAGGTATATATACATGCATGTTGATGACAACAAACTTCTAAACAGCCGTGCATTGTTGTGGAGAATGTCAAAATATTTTTAATGTTATTTTTTCATTAACTTTTAAGTTTATTTTAAAATTAAATTATACAAATTTGAGTTTAAGAATGGTTTTGCCCAGCCTACTTAGTCTAACTGCATCAACACAAAATAGAAAATTTTAAAGGCAAACCCAATTTAATTTTTCTGAGAAAAAATATCAAAAAACAAAAGAATGAATTATATCCAGGTATATACAATGCTATCCCAACTTTAAAAAATATACCTTGTTAATTTGCATCCTGTTTTGGGCACGATACCCATGTTTCAATGCTTGTCTTTTATTTCTGCCCTGAAATCTACCCAACACTCCTAGGCAGTGAGGCTCTTTACTGTCTATATTTCTAAAAATCTCTTAAAATTCTTTGGCAAATTGGGTCCATCACTGGACCATGATCTTCTTGAAGTGATGGATGTTAACATGTCATTTCTGAGTCCTTCTCGTATCTTAAAACTACCCCAGAACACACCCTTTCCCTTCAAAATTCCTCTTGTTCCTCCTACTCCAACTTCAGTTTGTAGAACAGTGCCTGGATTGGACTTGAAGCTGGGCCTTTTTGCTGAAATGCTAAATCCCTTGAGACTTATAGTGGTTGCCAGTTGAAATCAAAGCAATATTATTAAAAACACAAAGAGAACCCAAACAGTTGTGACTTAGTCCAATCTAATGTGTTGAAGTGCTAAACTTGGAGAATGTTTTCAACTTCTATCATGTGAAATAGTTACTAGATCTCAGAAAGGTATCAGAGAGCTGCAACGAAGGCATATGAAAGTCAACAATCTAATGAATGAACCCTAGTCATGTCAAGCTATAATGAAGACTATGAGTTTTCGTGGTAAAGGAATGGCTTGGCTCTGCTATAGATTTCTAAAGTGCTTAGTATAGCGTCTGCCTCTTAATATGTGCTCAATGAATATTATACATTATTAGATTAGTATTGGGCCCCTGTGATATGTCATCAACTTCTGTGCACTGGACATATGATACTAATTCCTCAATCACTGCTCTGAATTGCTCAATTTCAAACCAGTCTCAGCTCAAATTTTGTTAATAGTAGCCGGTAACAGAAGCTCAATCTGCCTATTTTGCAGTATTCTAAAGTTAATAGAAAATGTCACATTTTCAAAGATAATTCTTGAACTCATATCCAATTGTATTCAATATTTTTTCTGGATCTTTAATATTATTCATCTCCTTAAAAGCTTACATATCATGGCAACCAAGCTGAAAGGTAAAGTAACAATATTTGATAATTGCACTGTTTGTTTATTGTGATATCTTTTCTGTAAAAAGCAAAAACACAAGTTGTTGGTTGTTTGATTCAGTAAAAGATAAAAACAGAAAACCCATAACACATTGAACATTAATGAAGCATATTTTCAAAATATGAGAGAACTAGGTCTGGTTTAGATATCAGTTATAAATGCATCATTCCTAAAAAATTTACTTGATAATCAAATTAGACTTCTAATTATGGGTCCCTAAATGGGATTTTTCTTTTTATGAAAAATTAATGAAATAAGGAATGATGGAATGTGGCTAAATTTTAGTCTACCTAGTTTTCCAAACAATGTGCACTTGATTTTACAGGTTCGAATTTTTTTCTAAGAAAGAAAAGTATGTTTCAAACTCTGGACTGAGAGTATGGAGAGAGTTTTAAACAGTATTTTTGGGAACTTCTTGAAGAAAGCATTTAAATGACAATAAATTAACTATGCTAATACATATAAAATTGGACTTACAGTTTATGTTAATTGAAAGGGACAGGAAGCACTTACTGAAAACTTTGCTTTGCGCTTGGCCACAACTATAGTAGTTTTAATTCTCTTTTTATTGTTAGGTTATTAACTCAAGGTACATTTGAAATGTTAGTTAATTTTCCTCAACACTAAATCATAAATGGTGTTTTGCCTCTCATTAAAGATTAAAAAAAGAAAATGTGAATATGAAAGCAGAGAGTGAGAGTGAAGAAGGCACAAACAGAAGGACATTGGGAACAAGCAGCCGCTAATCATCATCATAACAGACTCAGGCTGGGTATGTTGAAGGTTTATTTTTAAATCATTTTTCATATATTTGACAGTAAGACAAATACTAAGAAAGGACTTGACTTAGCTAACAAGAAAAACATTTATATCATCTTAGGCTTTGAGTTCTCTCAGACTTAAAAACACTGCAAATATATTCCACATTCTTCAGGGAATCTAAGACCAAATCAAGAGAACTTAAGTTTTAATGACAGCCTTTGCTTTTGTGTGCTATGTCATTTTGTCTTAAGTGGAGCTCTACTGCTACATCTTAGTGACTCCATCTACAAGTGAAGGCATATGTACTCTGTCATCTACTTGCAAGCACACAGAATCAATAAAAAATGTTTAAGTCTCTATAAACTTGGGAAGTATTATGACTTTAGAACACTTTCTTTCATGCAGAATCTCTCAATAAGTGTAAGTTATTGCTTTTCCAATACACTCATTTATATAGCACATTCCTTTCATTTCTCCAATCTCTCCTTGTTTCTCCTTTTCAAATGCTGTGTTAACATCACCACTATCTTCACATAGTTCAAACCATCACTATACTGATTCTCTTCATTCCTGTGTGTTTTGTTATTTGAATATCATCATCACCATTACATTTTGAGTACCTACTATGTAAAGGATATTTTCAAATGACAAAATAAAGTGAACTTGAGAAGGGCTGCACTCTTCTCCAACAAGTGGAGAAACGTCATGAACAGCTCCTCATAGAACAGAGTTTAATCATCATCATAACATGGTGATTCACAGAACAAACCTTTAAAAGTGAGCATAGTGTTCAAAAAAGCTCTCAAAGCACTGGGATTACAGGCATGAGCCACCACGTCTGGCCAACATTCAATAGTCTTAATTCTATTGTTTTCTTGTAAAATTATGGCCAATTAAGTTATATTTACATTAGTAATTATTACAGTCATATAAGATAATAATGAAGATGATTTTAAAATTCTGTTATAGTTTCCAATATGACACTAAGGTGAAATAGTTGGAGTAAAAAAACAGGTTCGCATTCTAACCTGGTTACAATTGGTAGAGGTTCAAATGGTAGATCTGTCTTTTCTAGGACAAGTATTAATAGTATCACATTTCTTTACCCTCACTGCAACTAGCTAGATAGGCCTATTCCTACCTGAGAGGGACAAGCAATGCACCTCTCAATTATTGGGAGTTGTATGCACCCATATATTTCAATGCACTTTTTCTCCTTCCCACTTTTTCCTGTAAGGTAGAGGAACATTTCTCATTTTCAGCACGTTGCTTTCTACAGTTCACAAGAGCTATTTGACACAGTCTGTAAAGCTGAAAATAAAATGCACACTATGTTATTTTAACAAAGTTCATTACTTTAAAGAGAGCAGCAAAAAGACTGCAGGGCAATTTCTACCTCTCTCTTTACCAGATGCCTCCCACACTTTAATAGATAGCCTGCTTTTCATGAGCAATTGCTCTACTTTATACATACACGTTTTGTACTCTTAAGACATTTCTTCACCAGCCATGTAAATATCACATTGTGGGATATCAGGATATTTTAATTTGATGTTTGATTTTTTTTAATTTCTTGCCTTTTTACCTAATTATTATAGTCATCATAATATAAATAACAATCTTATATTACACAGTTACCAAACTAAAGAACCACTCTGGTTTGGTCCTTTCTTTTCCTTTTAAATCATTGTTCTATTCTGCTTTGCGTTCTCTTTGTGGAGCTTAAGACTGTTGAGATTTATGAACTCACCAAATAAAATCTGCTTTTTATCTTTGAAGTTATGGTTCACATCCACCTAGATCCTCCTAAGTGCAGTTATTCCAACAAACTGAAAGGGACAGAACCTAATGTAAATCTGCACAAGGACAGAGGGTGTGCTGGGGAAGGTGATAAAAAAACCATGTAAAAGAAAACCAAATACTTGATCAATATGTTTCAAAAGTTTCAAGATCATTAAAGACAAGAAAAGACTGGGGAACTGTTACATATCAGGATAGACTAAGAAGAAATCACAACTAAATGATTTTGATACGAATCTGGAACAAAAAAAGAACATCAGTGGAAAAAGTGATATAAATTGAATAAGCGCTATACATTTGTTCATGTTATTGTACCACTTTTTATTTTCTGTTCTTGACACTACACTGTGGCTACATTAAATGTTAACATGAGGGAAAGTAAGTGAAGATGAGGAATATAAAAGAATGGTGGAGACCTTATTATTTCTCCAACTTTTGTGTATGTCAGTTCAAAAATCTTTAAAAAGTTAAAAAACTATACATGGAAACCTACACACAAACCAAGGTCATGATCCAAAAGGTGTCTGAAGTCTCATTTTCAGGAATACAGAAAATCTAGGGAGTGACATATTTGGTTAGCAGATGGAAAATTTGTTTCCAATGATAAGCAAGTTTCACATTTTCTCAGAACCACCTAAATAAATCATCTAACAAATTCTGGGAAAAAAAACAGCAGAATAAAGTGCTCGGTTTGGAAAGCAAAGGGTAGGGTACTATGGTTCCCACTACCTTCTTCGACATTTCCAGTAGCAGAGCAAAGAAAGAAAGCTTGAGTAAGCAACAAGCCATCTGTATTCATTCTGTGAGTGCTCCTCCTCCCCTGCATTACAATTTGTCCTTCTTAAAAGCAAAAATGTACACTTAGTTACTGCGACCCAGTATCCTTCATTTGGAGGATTTAAAACACATGCCAACACTCACATTTATAGAAATAAAAAGTACCCTACTTTTGGAATCCTAGATGTGATACCATGGTAAGAAATCTTCTAATAATTCACACAGATTCTTTCATAGAGTTTATTCATTGCATAATATTGCATGTAGCAGCAACGAATATTTGGCTTAAGCAGAGAGGAACTACAGATGTGGCCAACTGAATACCTACTCGCTGTAAGGAAGGAAACTGGTTCTTATGGTTTGCTGGTCAGTAGTCCTAATGAGATCATATCTTACAAGTTGTCAAGTAGGAACAAAGTTTTATCAAGTAAAACGTTATCAACCAAAATGTTAGTCTTTTGTTACTACTATGATTCAGATGGTTATGGTATTTTTGAAATATGTATCTCTAAATATAATACTGAATTAATTTTATCAGCTCCCAATTTGAAGGCTAAAATGAAGCATGAAATATTGGCTGTTATATATAGAAGACCATTTTAAAATTACATTAAAATTATGTAATATTTCTAAATATTACAAAAACTTCATTTTTTAAAGGAAACGTGAAAGACAAGCTTTATATGTCAAACAAAATATATCTGTGGGATACCAGTTTGACATCTGAGTTATGCTCTGTGTAAATATTTTTGAGAACTTTAGAACAAAACAAAACAATACTTCAACTATGTCATTTGTTTTTTCAAATCAGGAACAAGTGAGAAAATGCATGTGGAAGGAGTGATATTTTATAAAACGCTGTACAAAAAGTAAAGAATTATTATTACTTTTGTATTTTATTTTACTTTGTGAAAAAAAAAAAAACATGATGCTTATGTTGGAAGTTTTGTCCTGGCCAGTTCATAAAATATCTCAGTACATTGTCCCAGGTGAGAGTAAAAGAGTTTACGCAAGTTTTAAACACAGAGCAGAGGTAGATGTTCAAAATATTGCTGATAAAAACAAATATAAAATTTTTAGTACTACTAATATTAAAAAATATTGTTCTGTATTGGTAAACAAGTATAATAAAGTAGATAAAACTGTATATCTTTAATTTAGCCTTCAAACAAGAGCTGTTAAAGAAATTAATAAGTATTATTTTGTTGGAACACATATTCCAAAGATAAGTAGTATCAAATAGGTGAGAATAAGAATAATAAAAGAATAATGTTTTGCTCAACAAATGAGACAATTGTCTGAAATAAAATTTAAATATGTCTACAGTCACTTTCACACATTACTTTCCAAATACATAGATATAACAGAAAACTAATGGAGAAAATTAAGCAATGTGCAGGTGCCATTGCATTTTCTTACACAGTAAGGGTGAGAAATAGAGGGTATTTTGTAGAGATATATTTGGCTCTGGAACTAAATCACAGTCCCTCACAGCCGCCTAGGTCTCTCGTGTTAAACTTCTTCCTCCTTCAGTCCTTCCAAAAAGAAGAATCTGAAATAGGGTTCTATGGTTTGAATGTATATTCAAACCATATTCATATGTTGAATGTATGTATTCCACAAAAATGCATATGTTTTATAGTATTAAGAGGTGGTGCTTAGGCTGGGCATGGTGGCTCATGCCTGTAACCCCAGCACATTGGGAGGCTGAGGAAGACAGATCACCTGAGGCCAGGAGTTCAAGACCAGCCTGGCCAATATAGTGAAGCCCCACCTCTACTAAAAATACAAAAATTAGCCAGGCATGGTGGCACATGCCTGTAGTCTCAGCTACATGGGAGACTGAATCAGGAGATTCACTTGAAGCTAGGAGGTGGAGGTTGCAGTAAGCAGAGACTATCCCACTGCATTCCAGACTGTCTCAAAAAAAAAAAAAAGAGGTGGTGCCTTTAGGAGATGATTCAGTCATGAAGGCAGAGCATGCATGGATGGGATTAGTGACTCTATAATGGGTCCAGAGAGAGCTAGCTAGGTCTTCTTGCCCTTTTGCCTTCTTCCATGTTAAGATACAGCAAGAAGGCCCTCACCAGACACTGAATGGTCTTGATTTTGGACTTCCCAGACTCCAGAACCATAAGAAATAAATTTATATTGTTTATAAATTCCCAGTCTGTTGTGTGTTTTTACAACATTGCAAACAAACTGAGATAGGGGTACTAAGCCTCATTTGTTATGGAATTTTCCACATGGGCTTTAGAGCCACACTGACTAGGTTCTGAGCCTTATAATTTACTGTGAGTGTGTGCAACTTATTTAACTTTCTGCATCTCTGTTTATTGATAAGTAAACATTGGATATTGAATTTACCTCTTAGGCAATGAGTATCTAAAATTGACTCCAATTTATTAAGAAGAAATATTTTTAGATTTTGTTTTATAGGAACATAATAATTATTTTTTAAAGAGAAAAGGAAAATCGACTCTGCATTGCCTGCTGCTGTGTGTTATCTTGACATATAAGGAATATTGTCTGTGTGGGTTTTTATAGTATTCAAAAGGGCTTTATTATTCTCTTGATTTTGTTCTGTTCTGGTATAATCCTATTTTTACACATATATACATATATATACACACACACATATGTGTGTGTATATATATATAAAAGTTATATACACAAATTAAATAGTGATTAATTATATTTAACTCTCAATCTGCCAATGTGTTTTTTCAACAATGCAATTGCTGTCATCCAAAAATATTTTCTGTTAGCTAATTGGAGTCAATTTTAGATATTGAAAGTTATGATTGTTAGCAGTTATTTGGAAATCTGGCTCTGTGTCAGACACTAGGCTAAGCATATTCACAGCAGCATTACATTAGTAAAAGATTAAGAATAGAGTGTCTGGACCCAGTGATCTGAGATGAAATCTTGACTCTACCACTTCCCACCTGAGTGGCTAAGGGGAAATTATGTCACTATTATGTAACATCTCTGTGTCTTACTGTGCACATCCCTGATGTGAATTCCCTGTAGAGGATTAACTCAATTGGAGCATTCAGATCAGAGTCTGGCATATAGGAAGCACAGAAGTAGTGATGACTATTATTGTTACATGTTTTAATTGGGGATATTTTGTTTTGTTTTTTTCTCAAAATTACTGTAGTAGGCCTAGTAGCAAAACTTCCCATGAGAAGACCTGAGTTTCAGTCTTGGATCTCTGTTGTGACCTTGGTAAAGTCATATGACTTCACTGAGCCTTAATTTATTCATCTCTAAAATATGAATAACATCTGACAAATGAGCCTACTATTATTATTAAATGGAAGAATACAGGAAACAATTCCTCCTTTTTATAAAGATACAGAACCTTTATAAACATTTAAATATCTTCCTACCTAAACATAGAAAAATAAGTATTGCTGTGTCTTGCTTTCCTTCCTAATGTCTCCCCAGTTTCCACCCCCTACTGCACCCAATGGAAGGTTTCAAGCCTACAAACCCCAAATCAGAATAGTTCTTGTATATGTTCAATGGTACGATGAATGCTCCTAACAAGAAATATTTAAAGCAGTATCCCTCTTGAGGAACAATCTGCAGTTTGGAACAAGTTCTTCCATGTGCAAAAATCAAATAATGATGTACATTTTCCAGTTCACTTTCTCAAGCTTGAAATTTTCTCTTGTATATATTTTTCTTAATTCTTTTCTGCCTGTTACTTTTTGGCTGTTAGGGGAACCGAAAGTGACAAAATGAATTGCTGAGCCTCAAGTGTACATTAATTAAAAGTCTCAGACTCAGCTACGCTTTTTATTTGGCAGCCTGTTTTCTGATTGATATATGTACTTCTGGTTTCACTCCTACATTGTGTTGATAAAATGTTCTTTTTCTATTATTTAATGTTTATGGCACAGGGTAGAAATGCTTCAGGTTAAGGCATCATTCTCTAAGGAAAACCACTTATGTGGTGTTTCCCACACTGGGGATAAGGATTTTTAAGTAATTGGGTAGGACTTTATTAATCAAGTAGATACTTTGGAAAACAACTAGGAGATATTATTTTCTTGAGATGGAAAACTTCTAAAGACTATGTAAAGTGAATTATATAGTTAACTAAACCTTGTTTTTTCCAGCCACTCTGGAAATTGTATAGTGGTGTTCTGATTTTTTAAATCTTAGTCACTAAATAACTAGTAAAAATTCTTTATCAGATATGGCTAATAAAATGTTCTCTGATTCTTCCAGTAGAGAAAAGAACATTCTAACAATAAGTCAGAATTTATCTGAAACTATCTTCAATGGGACCTGTGATTGGATAGTGTTCTAGAACTGCATTTGGTTAGGCAATTCTTTAAAACTTCTCTCTCCTCATACTACTGAAAGTAGAAAAGTGTCTCCTTTGGCCACTTCACTCTGGCCTAATGCAATCGTTACATTTCTTTTAAGATTTCTGCTTCTTTTTTTTTAAGTTCACAAGAACTTTGCATTATGTGTTTTAATATAAGCAGATCTCTTTTAAAAGAAAACAACTAAATTAAAAAAATTAAACATAATGTACTCCAGAAAGATGTCATATTTATCACTCTTCAGGACAGTGTTCTCCCATTTCAATGTCCATACAGATTTTTAATAACTTTGTTAAGACATAGATTCAGAGTCAGTGTCTTGAGGGAGGCCTAAGATTCTGCATTTCTGAAGCTGACAAATCCCACTTGAGGCTGATGCTGCTGGTCCCCAGATCATATTCTGAGTAGCAAAGTTTTAAGGGAGAATTCTTTAAAAATCTACATTCATCTCATGTAAACAGATTGCAGAAGTGTCAAATTCCGAAGATATATAGATATATACAATTAATACACAGGAGTAGTGATTTCTGAATTGTAAATAAAACATAAAAATTTCTCACAAATTAGAATCTAGTTACTTATGACAATAATTTTGGTTACTCAAACTAATTGGTAGCACTCAGTTTGCATACATTCTTTAAATTTTCATTTAGTGTTAAATTGAATTGACTAGACTCCTTTATGTGCTTTTCCGAGTAATTCACCTTGTTCTAACCGTGGGGCTAAAGACCAAAGTCAGAACCACAAGTTTGTAAGGTCACAGAAATAGTAAATGATGGGGCCAGAATTTGAATTTACTTTGACTCTAGAAGCTGGCCATAAACTCTTACAAAATAATGTTGATTTCCTTTCTGATAAACTCTAAGCCCCTAAATTCCAAAAACATTTAAAATGAAAAAGTTAATAAAGTTTAGTAAATGTAATTATTTCCTTGAAGATATGTTAGAAGCAGTTGATAGCATACTTCTTTATTTTTTACTTGTTTTATTTGTTTGTTTGTTTGTTTTAGAGACAGAGTCACTGTAACTCTAACTCTCAGGCCCAAGTGATCCTCTTGACAAAACCTCCTGAATAGCTAGGACTACAGGCATGTGCCACCACACCTAGCTAGTTATTATTATTATTATTTTGTAGAGACAGTGTCTCCTTGTTGGCCGGGCTGATTTTGAACTCCTGCCCTCAGGCAATCCTCCCATCTCAGCCTCCCAAAGCATTGGGATACAAGCTTGAGACACAGTACCCCACCTAGCTCTTTATAAGTACCTAAAGTACAGAAAATATGTTGAACTGAATACATGTTTTTCAAGGTCTGTTATATATAAAAAAAGTAGAATTTCATAACATCTGACACATATAATAGTTAACATGCAGTCTCAGAAACCATGACTTGGTGTTAACATAATACAAAATTCAGGATAATCCTATCATGAAAAAAATCCTACCGTGAGAAAAAAAGTTCACACTGAGATCTCTTGTTAACACATTTTGGAAGAATGCTACTTACCATTTTGAACAGTTCTAAATACACTCGTTGCATTTTCCTGGTCTGGCAACAGATGTTTATCTATTACATCTATTTATCAGAAATTATTTATCTTTTCATAGTACTTTTAAAATCAGTGATTTGGGGAGAAGGATATTGAGTGTCTAAAAGCCTTTTTTTTTTTTTTTTTTTTTTTTTTTTTAGTATTGGCAAATTCTTGGGAAGTGTGAGAAATCTATTTCACAAAGCTATACTTTTCTCCAACGTTTAAACAGCTTGTGTGCTTAGCTGGTGCAATTAGATCAGAGACAGCTACGGAAGGAAGAAGTTTAGAGTGGCTCAATCAAATCATGAAACTAGGCAAGTGGAAAATTGCATTTTGTTGCTTTGAATTAGGTAAGCTATTACCTGAATATGGATGCATATATTTACTTTCAATGTTTATTAATTTGGAGTTCTTGACTTCTCTCTTACCCTTGCTATAGCCCCTTATATAAACAAGTTGACATTTTGGTTTCATTTTTTAAATCCTAGGTGGTATTTCTCAGACAGTGAGGTTTTCTTCATCTAGTTTTAATATCAATTAGTATTTATGAAGGCTGCCCACTTGTGAACCCTGGTGTATTAGTCATGCTCCAAAGTAAAAATTATGTGTGCGACCTCTGGAAGCATTGAAACTAAACTAGAAAGCACTAACTCAAATGAATACAGTATTGATGTGCATACAGTCAGATAGCAAGGTGCAATGGATGATTCCATTTTGATTATTTATGTGTCTTCATGCACAACTGGGATGTGCAGTAGACCAAAGTGTTTAACTTGGAGTCCACAGGACCACGAACTGATTTGAGGGATCTATAAACTAGCTGAAATCGGTTGCAAAATTTGTGGATATATACACATATGTGAATTTCTTGAAAGGGGAGCCGTTGCTTTTAGCAGCTTCTCAAAGAGGCTTAAAGCCCCCGGAAAACATTAAAAATCACTGTTTCAATCCATGAAATAGCTGGTTTGGCATTTAAACATGTGTTTCCAAAGATTAATAAGAAACACAGCTCATGCAAGCTAAGACCAAAAATGGACAAGTGTGGCAAATATCGCCCACAGTCCTGAAGATCTTCAAGAGAGAAGAGAATACTAGCAACTGTTAATCTACTACTGTGAGTCAGGCTCTGTGCTGTTTGCTTTTCACATCTCATTAAATCTTAACTATAATTCTTCGAAATGATTCTGCTTTACTCCATTTCACAGTTGAAAAACTTGAGGGTCAGAACAATTACATATTAGCAAATTAGACTTAACATTTATTGAGGCAATTATCATGTACCATGATCTTTGCTAGCCATTATTCCATGCATTATTTTATTTAATTCTCAGAGCAGCCCTATGAGAAAAACTGTTATTTTTATTTATAGATGAGTAAACTGAAATTTAGAAATTACATACCTTACCCAAAATGATACCATAGTAAGAGCAGAACCAAGATGAAATCAAACAATAAATGAAACAAATTGTATGCCCATAATTACTATTTTATACCAGAGTTGACTCAAAAATTCATACTACTTTTGCTAAAGCACAACTCTTAATAAAGTAATAATTATAATTCACATTAACATTCTACTAAAATGATTTTATGTGTTAAAGGAAATTAACAGCAGGAAAAAATGAATTTCTTAGAAGTAAACTTGTAAGACTTAAGCCAAACTCTTAAGATGAGAGATGACTTCAAGAGATTGCTATATGCTTAGAACTTTAGAGTTGAAGACAAAGAATCTTTATATAGTTCAGTCCAACCACTCTCTGATGCTGTGTCTCCTCTATTTTATCTCCATCAAGTCAGTAACTACCCCTTGTTTAAAATTTTCCATGGGTAGGAAACTCACTGTCTCTCAAGGTAGCCTGTTATAACATTTTAAACTCTTATAAAGGATCTACATATGAAATAAATTATTTCCTGAACTGGAATATAATCAAGTAGGCTAGGCAACCTAAGCTTAACCTCATTCAGAGCAGGTCAATGTCCTTTTCCAATTTTCATTCTTATTAAGCATCCAATCTCTCTTAGGTTTAGTGCATCTTCTTTTGTTTCAAGATTGTTTTTATTGACAGGAAATATAAGTTCAAAATGCCAGAGATCTGTATTCTTTGTTGTTGACTGCCAGCGGCAAGTGTATCCTTTCTTTGATTTTCTTGTATCGTATATGACTTTTAAAAGTATCCCCACCCTGCATTTGCTGCCCTTGACATGATGTGTACACAATATTTCATTTATTCATCAAACATTTATTAAATTCCTTTCTTTATAACAGGGACTTCATTAGGAGTTTAAGACATAAAAGCATGTTTTCTTCTCTTACGGAGATCGCAATCTTGTGGAGAAGACACCCCAATAGATCTCTGTCAGTGGAAATAATAGCGTCTCTATAGACTACAGAAGAATGTCCCCAAATCCAAGCTGCGCCCTCCCAGAAAGATGAGTTCTGGGATGCTAATTTGAGACTTTGTCCTTGCTAACATCATTCTTATCATACCATGTCAGTCTTCCGTATTTGCCCTGGGTTCTATGACTTTTTTTCAGTCTTTGCTTCATGTCCTCTTGCAAAAATCCAAGTTTACTGTTGCAGTCTTTGCACAGTTACATGGCTTTCTTTGGGAAACTAATCCTTCTCTCACCCATCAGAATTATTTTCGATTGTACAATCAGAATCACATTTGTGATAACATTCTCATCATTTAGAAGCCACATGACCCATTCTGATTCATAATTCTTGTGTTTGTTTTGTTGACCAAAAAAAAAAAATCAGAAAACTCATACTCTGTCTTCCTTCTAACTGCCCTATTCCTTTCCATAATGCGTTCCTGTGTAATAATAGTAAGCGTCACCCTCAGATAAGTGGTACATTGGCATATAATGAGTGAACAGATTAGGAGAATATGTTGGCAAGGAGCTAGGAAGCAACTAACCACAAAATTGTTATCAAGAATGTACTATTTTCCCCAATGTGAAAAGAAAATACAAAGAGTGAAAAATAATTCATGATTTATCATCGATGTCTTCAAGTATTGATCATCGTTGGTCAAGGATCTAATAATCTAGTAATATGTTAAGATTTGCATTGACTTATTTTTATACATTTAATCCTTGAGTAATATGACTTTGTCTTTTTTTCACATAATACATTTGCAGCTCAAGCTTCCAGACAAGTATATAGCCTTCTGTATCCTGTGGCTCTGGCTATGCCATCTGACATCTCTTTAACATGGAAGGGTCTATTATGCTATATTTGATGAAGAAAAAACCTCCACTAGAAGTCTTACCATCATCTTCTTTCATATGTCACAACAATTTAAGTTTCAGAGAAAAATGTAGCTTTTCGTTCAGATAATAATAGTATATAGCAATCTGGTTCCATCTACTTACTGTCTTCCAAATAACTAAAAGAGCTTTCATGAATATCATCTCATCTCAAAGATATGGAGGCATAGCTTTTATGGTTACCATTTTTTTCTCTTGAAATATTCCTTTAACATTCCTATTCTCATTGTTTTTAAAACTAGGCAACTGTCTTATCTACCACAACCAGAAATGACATAATATTTTGCTTTTATCTCTCTTTTTCCTTTCCAAACATGTTGTTATCCAATATCATCATCTGCCTTTTACAATAGTCCTCAGACTATATCATCATCACCATGGTGTCAAAATCCTTTCACAGGAATAAATCTCCTTTAAAGAATCAGCTTTCAGCACTCTGCATTCTATATTTTACCCATTAGCTATTTCAAGCTGTATAATCTTATAAAAGTCACTGAATGATATAAAACAATTTGCTTATTGTATGTTGACTACGTAACAATAAGATATTTTTCTATATTTTTAAAAAAATTTAAAAACATAATCAGGTTTGTTTTTTCATACTGCAGAAAAAATACAAAATCAAATTTATTTTATTTGGTTCAATCCCTCATGACAGCTTATCCTTACTCTTAAATGTGTTAAGCATACATGTGATACCTGGGAAACAGTAATTTTCTATCCACCTTCCAACCTTAATGGAACCTAGCTAAGGTGTGTAGGCTTCAATTTCTAAGTAAATTGTGGGTCTGTTGTCAAGTAACCCAGAAAAAGAAGTTATCTTCTGAGTCTAAAAGCTTATAACTTTTCCAAATCTCAATAGAATGTATTCTGTTTGTGAGCAGGCAAAGAATGGGTGAATGATGACAAAATAAGCTCCAAAAAGGAAGACACTAAGCAAGCAATCTGCTGTCATTAATGTGAGAGCTGTCAGGAATGTAGCTTATAATAACAGGAACAGATAGCGCTTTTTTCAAAGCCTGAACTTAAAGCTTCAACAGTAAGCAGGGAAATGACATTTACATTGAGATGTAAATTGCAGCCAATGGCACTGTTCATTTATGTAAGATGGGTCTATTTTGGTTTTCGGAAATATAAACTGAAACCCTGTGTTTTCTCTTAGAAAGGCTGACTGCATAGAAAGTAAAACTTAAGCCTATTCCTGACATGTCAGGAAAATGTAAAGGCCTTTTCACTGCCTAAATATGAATATTAATACAGTGCAAAGGTAAGCCTGTTTAACAGGATTATTTCCAAGTTCCCTGAAAAAGGGCATTGCTTTAGGGGCAATGGAAAGTCTATAGTACAGGAAAGCCTTCCACACAGAAATAGGCAGACACTCCCCTCTTATCCCTGAACATTAGATAAACAGTTTCAGGATCACATACCCTAGGGGCAAGTGACGCATTTCATAAAACTGAAAGACTGAAAGAGAATTTGGGATGTCATTTTATTTCTCTTGGAACAAATAGATTATGGTTTCATCTTTTTCATACAAGCTCCTAGAGTAGATGATTCTTCAATCCCTGTGGTATTAATTGAAAGTAGTCACTATCATTATCATAAAGAAGTTTGAAAGACCAACCCCTTAAACATAAATCCTTCTATTCATTTAGTATATTGACAAGAAACTTTCCTCAGTGGAAACTCAAAGCAGAGATCAATCACGACACACTCTACATTTGGATTTGCTCCTTTAATACGCTGCCAAATACTCTCTTAGCTCCAATGATACTGGACAAAAGTCATTCCCTGTCTCTCTCACCCACTGGATGGGGCACTCTTTGATGGCAGGTGGGGTGCCCTCCCAGTGCCTAGATCAATATCTGGAACACAACAGACATTCAATAAAGCTCAAATTTTTATGGTAAATGTGTTATGTTATGTACACTATATTTAATATAAATACATACAAGTATTTCAGATATCAAGAGAAGTTATTTCAAACTCTTCCTGGAATTCAGCAGCATGCTTTGCCAACAGGACCCAAAGAAATGTTTTCTGATTATACTAATAATGTGAAATACAGTTGGTGAGTTGCTGTGCCATTCTTTTCAACACCCATCAAGTTGTCATGTTATATTCTGCACAGAGAACAGTCTTTGTGACTGACTAAAGTACAGTCTATGATTGGGGTAATTTTAAGGGGAATTAAGTGTACATACTATACAATACAAACTATACAGTACAAACCACAGTATTTTTGTGAACCAATCTCCATCTCCAATTATAAGCCCCAGATATCTTAGGATAAAAGTGATCAAGGCAACTTTATTTAACATTAAGAGAATGCAAATTTAGTAACAGCAGTCGTTAAAGAAATCCTTCTTTAAAGTAATTAAAGAAATCCTTCTTTAAAAAGCTTTTACTAATGTTAAAGTTGTCTCCAGAAAGTGTCTTCTGGCTTTAAAGACTGCAGCAATTCTCCCTTTACAGCTGATCAGACCACCTCCATCAACTGTCCCACTTTGGCATTCTGAGTGGCTTGGACACGTCTCACTCCCGCCTTAAGCATGAAACTCTCCCAGCTGTAGTTCTACCATGCTCAAAATGGTTAGTTCATTCATTCAACTAATATTTTTTGAGATTTTTTCATGTATCAGACATATTTATAGACATTGAACAATGAATTAAAAAGACAGATTATTTTCTATGGAGCTTACATATGGCAAAGACAGACGATAAATGCATCCACAATAAATATACAGTATATTAGATGGTGACAAATATTATGGAGGGAAAATACACAGGGTAATATATGGTGACCGTAATAATTATTGTGTAAAATGGGAGACTTTTGAACATAAGAGAAAAAGGGAGTGTTTAACACCATATAATGGAGTTATAACATGGAGTAATAACACCTTGACAGTAAGCAAGAACCAGAACTGTCCCAGGTAAATATGAGCATAATATAGTCACGGCAGATGAGGGAGATGAGAAAAGTATTGGAATGCAAGGAAATGCCTTAATTTCTAGGGTCTACAGACCTGAATATTAGGTAGCCAGGGAACAGATATTGCATAGCTAGCAGGGTCTATTTAGAGGATATTGTCCATAGTAACTCATTTAATACTTATCACAACATTTTGAAGTAGGTGCTGGAAACATACACAGAGACTTGGAACCAGGGTTTTTCTAGGAATCCTCTCTTGCTCCCTGTGGTTCTCTTTCCTCCTCTGGATCCATTTCTCTATTAGCCTGAAGTGCTCATGCCATCCTTCCTTCTCAAGGAGGCCTCTTCATGTGATTCAATAAGGAAACATGCTTGATATGTTAAGTTAAAATAAATATGTTGAATTCTGACCATAATTATTGTGCTTGTGTATTGTGGGAGAATACCATTTTAATGGATCTTCTTTTGTGATTAAAGTCTTTGGAAGAAACCTCTGGTGCTTTGGCCACAAAACTATGTTTATATTTTCCCAATATCCCGCTATATTGAGATTCTGCATTATACTCAATATTGTATACATAATTTTTTTCATATTTATATATTTTTTAAAAAGAAATATAGTGAGTTGCCAGATAGGTGTATTTACATAATCAAGTCTGTACCTTTTTCTAGAGCTATTTGCAAGCAGCAATGTTCCCTAGACTATTTCTTCTAAATATAAATGACTTGGGAAAGTTATTTTCCTAAGTAGATAAGAACAAGAATATAATTTATTTATATGAGTCAGTGGATATTTGCTATGTACTATAATTAAATCAATAAAAACACAATATGTCAATAATTAAATATTGAATTATTTATAGTATGTTCAAATAATAAATATTTTGATAATATCCAGTGTTGCAATACTATTTTCATATGGGTACAGGATTATTCTGTTAGTGTCAGTATAACTAGTTTTATTTATTTTAGAAAGCAATTTGATGATACTTTTCAGAGATAGAAAAAAGTAAAGAGTTTATAATCGTAGTATAAGCACCTAAACACAGATAAATTATCTGAAGGAAAATAAACAAATTATAGCTAATTGTATTGGCATAAATAGGCAAAAGCTGCAACAAATGAAATGTTCCAAACAAAAAGATCAATTAATTCATTGAGTACATAAACTCTATGGTATATTTTGTGAAAATAAAAAATGATATTTTAGAAGTCTATGTGTCATCAAAGAAAGGAAGCCTGACATAAAAATGTTACATTTAAAAAGAAGAAAATACAAAGTTTTATTTGTTATGTAAGTATCTTATGTAAACCATAAGTATTAGTGGAAATTGGAGGAAAACATGGCAAAATGAAAATGAAGTAGATTTATTAGAATCATGGGCTTATGCATTATTTTAAATGAATTATTATTATTAGAAGATTGTGCAATGAATAGCTTTTTTAAAAAAGAAGTCATTGAGTACAAGACTTGTTCTTGCTTTCTCAGGATCATCAGAAAGTTGATTTATGCTCCTTAATTTTCTAGAGGCCATGTAAATGAAACGATTCTCTTTATATTATACTTGGATTGGTATATGGTCTTGTTTTTCAGTTAACCACTTCAAACTTACACAGAATGAATTGGAGAAAGGGAACAAAATTGAGTAGAAAGATTTGTTATAGACCTTGGATGAAATTTGTAACAAGTGTAGACGCTGATAAAGTGGTTTAATGAAAACATTTTTCAAGTAGAATTATATGACTTGACATCCAGTCCATTTGTGTATTTTGAGGGATGTCTGAAAAATCTGTTGGTGCCCTGAAGAGAGATACATCCATGACACTGAAATAAATGCCTGTGATAGTTCTTTACTGATAAAATTTGAAGGTTATTTGTGCCCTACAACTCTAAGTTAATCATACTGAAGCTATGATACCCTTTACTATAATTCTTCAAGTTGAAACTATATAAATATGTGTGTGTATAAAATTGCCAATTCTTTGCAATAAAAAGATTTTTTTATAAAAAGCAAGATTAACTAGAGAATTTAAGTAAGGAAGTTAATAAATTTTAAATGTATTATCTTTTTATAAAGACTACATTTTGTCATTCAATATGTAGAAAAAATCAACACTTTGGCTTTGATGTTGGAAAAATTCTCTGTATGCATATGTTCTTTTAAGAAATGCTGCCTTATTAATATTGTGCAGGAAACTGAAAAGATACTCTTTGCATTTATTCAAAGGTAATAGATAAATAGATAAAGATAGATGTTAACCTGTGAGTAGAAAGTTTACTTCAAGATGTAAGTATGCATGTATGTAGGTGTTTCAAGAAAAATATATTGGATATGTTTATATGTAGATATTAATTATTTCTTTCAAAATGTTTGTTAAATTTTAACAAATTTCATAGGCCTTGTGATATAGGCTTTAAAGTGCCTTATTTTCCAAAGGTTACCAAAGTGTCAACTTCAGCAAAGCCTCAGCAAGATTGGTAATGATTAAGCACCCATCTGCTGCAGTCTTTGAGACTTTATGAAGGTAGGAGACAAAAGGAATGAACCGTTTCTATGTTGTGAAAGTCTTGGGTGAAACAGACAAGTCTAACTCAATCAGTTCTTATTCATCTGGCCATGAACCTCAAGAGAAGTTATCTAAGGGGACTTTTCCATTAGGATAATCTCAGTTATCTTGAAGCAAATCTCAGTTAATTTGAAGCCAATTTGTAATTAACGACTCTCTCCTTCTATTAAGAAACCTAATCTAGTCAAGCTTTGGTTCTGAAAAGATTATTAATACCATGTGTGCATTTGTTGCTGATCCCTTAATCAATGTTTTATATGTCCAGACTTGGGGTTGGAAAATTAGCAAGGTTGGGGGAATTGGTTAAATGGGTTCCATTTTTATGTTTTCATTTTTTGCATGCAACCTTTTTTCAATAGTTAGTAGTTCAATCAGGACAATGTTACAATACTTAGCACCCCATCACCTCAAAAACAGTAATCATATGTTTAGCATTCCTACTAGAGTGAAGATCATAATGACAATAATCATGAGAATAAACCCCATAGAAACTGGTTAGAGTGCCATTATATGCCGCTGGATGTATGTGTATCAGGAAATGATTTAATACATGTATCACTGTATTATAATACATTTTGCTATAAAATTAACAGCAATGTTTATGTACAATTTGAGAAAAATAAGTAGTAAGCAAGCACAATTAGAAGTTCAAAGTCAATCAATACTTTTGATGTAACAGGAATAACAGCTTTCCAGTATGTCTAACATACGCACATAAGCTTTACTAACAAGAACATTTACTAAGTCTTTTCTATTAGGTTTTATCGCTACATTCATTGTAAAACAATAATAAAACCTTGTTGAGCCTTTATGACCAAGTAAAATGTGCTGATAAATGAATCACCTAACAATAACGCATGATGGGTGATGGCAATCACATTTTAAGGACCTCAGCAAATATATCTGATCAATAAATAGACAGCTGTTTCCTAAACACTATGTTAGGCACAATGGCATCATAAAAGGTGTAACTATATTAAACACAATCTATCATATTGAGGGCATACTATAAAAATACATCTAATATCTCAAAGAGTATGTTGTAAGTGACATATGATGCTATAGATAATAAATTATAAAGGAGTTCATAATACTTGAGTAGTAAAACATGTTTAATAAGAAAGAATGTTTTGAGTTAGGCATTAGTGAATGATGAAAATTTGGAGAGGTAAAAGGGAGAAAAAAGGGCATGTAGTGGGGTGCGGTGACTCACGCCTGTAATCCCAGCACTTTGGGAGGACAAAGAGGGCGGATTACCTGAGGTCAGGAGTTTGAGAACAGCCTGGCCAACATGGTGAAACACCATCTCTACTAAAATTACAAAAATTAGCTGGGCGTGGTGGTGCATGCCTGTAATCTCAGTTACTCCTGAGGCTGAGTGGGGAGAATCACTTGAATTCGGGAGGTGGGGGTTGCAGTGAGCCTAGATGGCGTCACTGCGCTCCAGCCTGTGTGACAGTGTGAGACTGGGTCTCAAAAAAAAACAAGGGTGGGGAGGGGGGCATTAGGGTGTACTATGGGCAAAGTCCACAGACAGTTGACAGACTGGGAGGAGATTTTTGCAGTAGAAAAACCAAAAAAACATAACGTAAGGAACCAAGGTGAATAAAAAATACAGGAAACCTAATATGAATATTAGTAGATAACAAAAAGGAAATCTAAATTATATGAAAATATGTTCAACCTCATTATGAAGTGAGAAGTGAAACTAAAACAATAGTGATATCCCCTTGCAAATATTAGTTTAGCAAAAATAGATTATTGGGTGATAGCAAATATTAGTAAGAATGTTCAGAAGCAGGCAAGCTGAGACATTACTGATGGGAATCTAGGCTAGTGTGGCCATTTTGAGAATCAGTGAAATAACATTAGCTACATTCTATCACCAAGAAATTCAAATTCACTTAGTTTCATACCTCAGAGAAACTAGTACACAAATACAAATAAATATTTGGTGGTTGTTGTTGTTTTCTTATAGCAGAGACTGGAAAGTAATTTAAGAGTCTAAGTGAGAAATTTATTATAGGACTAAATAAAATGAAATGTGATGGAAAAACTTCTGAAGCATCTGAAATACAATGCAGATATTCTGATAATGCTTACATAGATCTCATTGTCTTGAAACAAAAGAAGAAAAAACATCAGATTTCTAGTGCAATTCAATTTATTTAAATTTAAATACATGTATAAAACAGTACTATATATAATTTTCAAAGATATATACATATTTCAAAGATACATATCCAGAGATATTTAGTAAACATGAAGAATAAATACTTACAGTGGGGAGAGGTTAAATTGAAGTAGGATCCTGGAATAAAAGAAAAAATAAAAAACTAAGAGGAATCTGACAGACTGCAGTTGAAAGGGACTATAAGCTGGGGAGTACTCAGCTCTCAATATTGGGCCCCCAAAATGGGAGGCCAGCCAGCCAAACTCTGTTTTCTTCCCATAAAGTTATTGCTCTGTGCAAAAGAAATCAAATTTGGTTTGATATTATCTTATATTTTCTAACAAGTACTTTGTAGGATGAGTTAAATCATCAGGATTACAGGTTTAGGAGCATGTACCATTTGTATTATTGTGTTCTTAAATATAGATCTGAGAAAAGGAAAAAAAGTGGATAAAGAGTGTGCACTTCTGTTGGGGCAATGACTCCGGGGCGGAAGAGGCTGAAAGAAAGGACCAATGCAGGGAGGAAAAGAAATTGCCCAACTCCTTCCAGGGAATGTAGATGAAAACATATAGACACAATTGGGAGAAAATTTGGGGCAGGTAAGCCTGTGACTTTCTAGTCCTTTCTGCTTTCCATATACATGTTAAAAGGTTACATGGAGGATTGCTGGATGCCAAGAAAAGCTTTTATCTCTCAGTCTCAAATTGCTGTGTTGTGTTTGGCTTAAGACACAAGTGGATGCTTCTACCAGGTTCCTCTCACCTGCATGTAGCTGTCATGAGTGAAAAAATAAGAGCTTTCCACTTTACTTTGGGTTATCATCTTAAATAGAAAATGGAGATTGCTAAAGTGGGAATGGGAAGAGGGAAAGGGGTGTGGTAAAGAGGATATTGTTTTTCCTTCTTGCCCTTACATGGTAACCCTCAGGTCCTTGGCTGAGTCTTGGGAGAAGATGAACACAAAGGTCAGACTATCAGAAGTAGCCACCACAAGATGGTTGCCTGGAAGAAAACTGGAGAGTTGTGACCTAGTTTAACACCAGTATGATGATGAAAATTGCAGCTCTGAGATTTCTACTAGTCAAGAATTGATCGGCTGACCCCCAAGCTGAGCAAGTGGATGTCTCTTGAGGGAAATTTACCTTGGGGGTTTCAGGGAGCTGAGGGAGTGGCACAGTGAAGAAGGGCAATCAGTGTTTCTGCTTTTCATCCCAGGCTCTGAGAGTGTTTCCCAAGATTGTTTTCTTTTAAATCAGAGGAACACTCATGATGCTGTCACCAGCAACTATAATCTCTCCGTCTCTGGATCTGATTGTTACCTAAGCAGTGGTATGATGACCTATTTCAAGTTCTTCCTCCAGCACCTGCCCTGCTCATATCCATCCCTAGAGCACTTTGTGGACTATGGCTCTCTTCCCTTTAAGCCTGTTAGTTGGCTTTTGGCCTAAAATTTCATCCTCTGCCTCAACCCCCAACATAATCCCCCATTCTTACCATACTGATTTTACTGCCATGGATAATTTTTTATGCTGCCCTCCTGCTTCCCAAGCATTTGGGAAATTGTGAAAATATTATGTTGATTTTTTAAGGAAGAGCATTAATGGGAAATTAACATTGAGGAGAATTCAGCACATAAGGTACTATTTTATCTAAAAGAGAGAGACAGAGGCAGAGAGATTCGACAATATATGGTGATGGGGAAAAGTATTAAATTAGCTTTATTTATATTCTGGAAAACAACCAAAATGACCATGTTAAAAATTATTTAAAAAAAACAGAAAACTAATCTCAAATAGTGTATCTTTCATTTACATGTACTAATTCCTTATGAAATAGTTTTCTTACCCCTTTTCTTGAATCCTCTTTCCTTTCCTTCAGCTGATCTGACTATGAACTGTTTTGATAAGATGAATGACCAGAACTCCCAATACTACTTGAGTAGAATCTTCTCCTGTCACTACAAGAAGAGGCTGTGAAGACACTGTTTGAACTCAGACCATCACAAAAGAACAGTATGATTATTGACTTTCAATGAGTTTCTTACAATTTTATACCTAATTACTATGCTGTACAATAATGATTATGTAGACCATTAAATGTTTCATTAACATTTTATGTCTTTTATTTGATTAGTACACCAAATTCTACTCATGTGTGCTCTGTGTGCATAGTTCCTTAAACATACAACAAGGTTTTCTGCCCACAGAGCTTGATCTTCCCTTGTTTGGAGATAAAATTGAATAATATGTAGTCTGTTTTTTTAATCTCCTTTTTATAGCCTTATGTTGGAGTGTAGAGTATGAACTACCAGAAAAAAAGTTACCAGAAATTCCACATTAGAATGTAATAAATACTAATCTAAGTATTTTAAGAAAATGAATATTCTGGGTATTTGAATAGATGGATTGAGTCTTTTGGCAACTCAGCTCCAGAACTTACCAGCATGTAGCATGAGTAGGAATGTTCTCATTCTGAGTTACACAGTTCAGTTAAATTTAGGGTGTGTTAGCTGGCAGCATGCATTAATAGTGGTGACAACAAATAGAAGGATGTCTTTCTAAACAACATAAGGTAACCTGGGCTTGAGAACTTTATAATACTTTATTCATTCTCTTTAACAAATATAAAAGATACAGCTCTATATTATAGATAAAAACATTTCATGTACTTGATAAGATGTAGATTTTGGGTAATTGACTTGTGATTATAAATTTAAATCCAGGGCCCAATATCCATTTGTTTACTAGAACCACATCAATCACTGCCAAATATAAGTTGTTTTAAGATGATGAGTTAAAATTGAGATTAAATAATTTGCATCGTTAAATTAAGTTTAATGAAAATTGTATTTGAACCCTCAGCTTTTAAAACCTAGTTCTGCTTAGCCTTTGAATTTTGTAAATAAATTTGACATAATGAATCTGCAACCTTTTATTCATTTCCCAAATTTAGTTATTTTGAATTCTCTTCATTTCTCAGTTATTCTGTCATTCTGTTTTGCTAGTTTGTTGATGTCCTTAGTTTCTTCAGAAGAGTTTTAGTTTCTCATCTAATTGTTTCAGATCTCCTGTGAACTTTCTCTTTTCTCATGCATTCTCATTTTCATCAATATTTGACTTGCATTAGAATTTATTCACAACACTCTCTATAGCTCGAGGTGCTTTATCTTCTTTTTTTGACTTGGCCATTTGTAACAATAAAAATAGGAGTTATTTAATTTCTTGCAATCCTAAAACATCTTTTTCCTAACATTGTCACATATCTTGTAATGATGTAAATTTCATTTGTTGAAAGAATATGAAAACAATTTGCTAATGACGAAATTCCAAACTTGAAATTTTTTAAAGAATTGGGAGATATACCTAATGCTAGATGACGCGTTAGTGGGTGCAGCGCACCAGCATGGCACATGTATACATATGTAACTAACCTGCACAATGTGCACATGTACCCTAAAACTTAAAGTATTAAAAAAAAAAAAAGAATTGTAAAAGAAAACATATACAAGTGCATTTCTGTCTGTCTTGTCATTCTTAAATAACAATATAGAAGCAGACTGGATACTAAAATGCTAGAAAATATAATCATAAGAAGATGAAAAAGACAACATAGGCTTTTCTTCTAGAGCTTTAAGTAGTTAGCAGCTCAGCATTAATATAAAAAAACAAGAATACTTAGTGACTGTGATAATTAATTTTATGTGACAACTTACTACACCATAGTGACAGGTGTTTAGTCAAACTTCATTTAGATTTTGTTATAAAAAGATGTGATTAACATTTACAATCAGTTGACTTTAAATAAAGCAGATTATCCCTCATAATGTGCATAGGTCTCATCCGATAAATTGAAGTACTTAAGAGAAAAGACTGAGGTTTCCTGAAAAAGAATGGATCCTGCTTCTCTTCTGCAACATAGAAATTCTACTTGAGTTTCTGGCTTTCAGACACAAGACTACAATTTCAAGTTTTACCTGAATCTCCAGCCTGCCAGCTTGCCATACAGGTTTTAGACTTTCCAGTTGCCAGAACTCACAAATTGCACAAGCCAATTCCTTAAAATAGATCTATCTATCTATCTACCTACCTATCATCTATGTATCCATCTATCTATCCATCCATCCATCTATCCATATCTCTATCTATCCATTAATCCATCCTATTGGTTTTCTTTTTCTAGAGAACTTTGACTAACATAATTGTAGTATAGAACTTTTCAAAATTTACCATAAAAAAAAACAGTAGTTAACCAGATCATAGTTAGTTATAATCAAGATACAAGAAGATGGCTTCTTTCCTTACAAGGTGATCTCCCACTTGTGAAAAAATCATTTTCTGAAAGAAGGTCTTAATTAGAGCCATTATTAGCAAGGGCTCATTAACATGGATATTTTAAATTTCCCTCTGAAAAATTATGTTGTAGCAACAGAGGAGACATCTTGTGAGGTTCACTCAATCTATTATCTATTTTATTTTCCTGAAAATTTTTTTCCTATCCCATATGGTCAGACCACTTCTAATCATGTGTGCACTATGTAAAACTGACCTCTGGTCATTGTTTATTGGGCCAGAAATGGGCACTGGATTCAGGCAAGATTCACCAGGTCTTCTCTCTTTAGATCTGCAGGTTGGTTCCAAAATCTAGTTTCCCTTGGTTACTCTTGTGAATAAAGAAAATGCTGATTTCAGAGTAAAAGGAGACTTGAATCAAGGAACCAAACAAACATGTAATAAAAATCAAAGACAACAACTTCTCATGTCCCACAAAGACAGGGAGAAAGCAAGGTCCTAAAAATAAAATTAATGATAATGAGGTTCAGTTCCTGAAGCAGTTTAAATATATGTCTTTCTTCAGATTCCATGAAATAGCCCAATAGCCTTACACTAAATTCCCATCTCATTTTCACACATCTTCTACTTCTCTGTTTTTTTCTTCTTCAGGTTAATTTGAATGGCTTAATCACAAGAGCTATGATTAAGATAGACAACCCTTTTTCTTCTGATAAAATAAACTATGAGTTTTCTTTCATTTACTGCCTTATATTTGTATTCTTAAACACTCTAAAGAGATAAAGTAAATTAAATTTTTTAAAATTCACTATTGCTTCACGAATCACAGCATCATTTTTCCTAACAGCACTGAATGTATTACCTAATTCACAACAACTCAAATGTAAATTTTGATTTTTATTCATTGTTTTAAGTAAGATGTTAAGAATAAAGGATCACAAATCAAATTGTTGAAATTACGGAATTTATTATATTGTAGAATAGCTGCAAATAACCCAAAACATACTAACTGGGAAAATGATTCAAAATAAATAGTATAGAAAATTAATTAAGGAAAGAAATATGGTAATAAGAAATTCATTTTGGAAGCATTTGAGGTAGGAGTAGGATGTGAGATATGTTGGTAAATATTTCTTATCCAGTCTTCTGGATCTTATCTAATCTGAGTCAATCTTGGGTGGGCTACAAAAGGACCTTTACTGTGGTCAATGAGAGGGCTCAGTAGGAACAGTTCAAGTAAGTACAAGTTTATGGCATATCAACTTTAGAGATCCATAGGTTTATGAGATATAAAGTCAATACACTGAGCAATTACCCAGTTTATCTATTGCATCAGTTTATTCTTTGTATAGTCCACTGACCACTGACCTGAGCACCCACAATACAGAAATTTGGATCAGGAATAATCTTTTCTGTACCTAATACATATTTTTATTTTATGACAAAATTCAAAAAAACTTGACTCTTTCTCAGAAAATATGTCTCATCCAGGAAAAGCAATAACAAAGTGTTGGCAAAGCATGCTGTAGGAGAGACAATTCTTAGTAACAATAATAGAAAAAAAACTACCCATTTTACTATACCAGACAGGAGGTGATATAATGACATTAATGCATGCAAAATTTAGGAATGAATAGCTTTAGGTAGTAAATTTGTTATTTCACATTTATGTGACAAAATTTTCAATGAGCCAGTCAGATCTGAATGCTTCTAAATAATAATTATCCGGATGTTGAATATATTTAGCTGATTAGTATATGAAAATCTCTTTAAACTATTTCACAAAGGCTTCATCATTTCCTAGGTCGAATCTGCTAAGCAGAAATGCATTTACATTTACTAAAAAGGCATCTTCTAAATGTGTTTCTGAATGCATGGTCTTGGCGGCTTGCCTCTTTTACAAATCTTTGTATTTATAGGGTGTCTATCATCTACATTTAAATAAAGATGACTGTATTAGTCTGTTCTCATACTCTATAAAAAAATACCCAAGGCTTGGTAATTTATAAAGGAAAGAGTTTTAAATGACTCACAGATCTGCACAGTTGGGGAGGCCTCAGGAAACTTACAATCATGGAAGATGGCAAAGGGAAAGCAAGGACCTTCTTCACAAGGCAGCAGGAGAGAGTGAGCAAGAGCAGGGAAAACTGCCTTATAAAACCGTCAGATCTCATGAGAACTCACAAGAACAACATGGGGGAAACCACCCCCATGATCCAATCACCTCCTACCTGGTCTCTTCCTCGATACATGGGTATTATGAAGATTACATTTGAGATGACATTTGGTTGGGGACACAGAGCCAAACCATATTAATGCCTATGTGGTACAATAGTAATGAATAATAACTTGTTCTTCATTAATATGGCTTTGGTAATTTGTTTCTCTGTAGTATGACAACTACAGTATCAAGCATTTCCAGTACAACTTTTGAAGATTAGAATTAGTTGAGTCCAATGTAAATATCCTTATAAATCCTAAGTGAAAGGAGGTGGCATCAAAAGCTTGGTCCAATTACAGTGTCTATGATTAAATGAAGAGCAATGTTGAGTACAACATGGCATCTGCTACACAGACATGTCTTATACACCTGCTGCCATCTCCATGGGCCCACAGCTTAGTCTTCCCGGGAAGATCTTCAATTACAAAACGAAAATAACTTAGAAAATAGTTCACATAATACTTTCTGCGGGATGCAAGGGCGATGAAATAAATGGGCACAAGACATAGGATAAATGGGTTATTTTCAATGCAGTGGTACTGCATTGGTATGCTGTAAGTAAGCCTATACAATGGGTGGTGCTAGTGACTACAGAACGGTGGTATTGGGATGTGATGAGATGGCTTCAGTGTGGATGGTAGCAGTTAGTTTTTCAGTGTCACCATTTTTGCCATAGCAATTTCCTTTCATTGAGTTTTTTCGGAAGAAAAAACAGTTTTGGAGCTTTTAAGCTGCATCATTGCAGCAGCTCTCACAACTCTGGTAGCAATAAGAGCCATAATTCAGGTGACTGTGACTACAGGACTAGCAAGAAAAAGCAGCAGCCCTACTGGCAGGAGGGAAGGTTCCTTCATGAGGCTTCAAGAAAGCAGGGCCTTCTAAAAGAACTTCAGTTTTTAACCAGTTCATTCATCTGCTACAGCTTCATATCATTTCCTTAGAAAAGCCTTTCCCAAATTCCGGGTGTGCATTTGTAGCACTCTGTTTTACTCCTTCAATGAACACATCATACTTTCACTTGTTCATTGCTGCCTCTCCTCCTAGTTTATAATTGGTAGGAGAACAGTTACCTGGCTTATGGTTTTTACTGTTGTATCCCCAAAGCCTGGCATATAACAGAAGCTCAAAATTTGTTTTTTTGAATAAATAAAAAGATATCCTGGCTGACCAATTGTGATGTCCCTAGAAGTCTTCTATATGCAATTAAGAAATAATGCCACCTTGAATATAATAGAATGCTATAGCTCTACTTCTTAATTAGATAGAGGTGGACGAAGCCCTGGGAAAGAAAGACATAAAGCTATGTCCTCAATCAGGGTTCATGTATGCATACATTTTTTAATGATCTAATATATAGATGTCAACAAAGGCATTGAGAGAGAACAATCGTCAAACTGGAGCAAAAGTTGGATGGCTAAAAGACCTAACTTGTCCACTGCGTAAAATTGCCTTTACCCAAATGTTCCCTGGGCTCTAATTTAAGAGGGTCTTACATGGTATTGGATATACAAATTGTTCCTAAATCTGTTGAAAAGAACTTTTATTCATGCCAAGAGAAAGGACTACATCTTTTCTTATCTGTAAATCTCTAGAAATGTCTATGTGGGTGGGTAGGCAGAGGACATTCTCATACATAATCAGAGCTGCTCTTTATTTTCATTGGTTAAAGTTCTTTCCCTTTACTGGTGCTGTTTATCCCTGACTTTGTAATGCATGCCTCATACTATACTAGTCCCTCAGATACTAACAATGAGGGAAACTAAACATAATTTTTGCCAAAGAACTTGTTTTAGTAGACAAGACAGATATAAAAACAGACCATTTCAAGTCTAACTGTTAAGTGCTGTGAGCAGAATAAGAATAGAGGACTCTGGAAATAGAAAAAGTCATCCATTGTGTTATCGTGGAGGGCTTCTCAGAGGAAGTTGAATCTGAGTCGAGACCCAAGAATGAGTAGTAGGAGGTTACTAGGTCCAAGCAGAGGGCAAATCATGTGCAACGGTGTACACAGCATGGTGTACTGAAGAAATTCCAGTTGTCCAGTATAGCTAATTGAGAGTACAAGGTCGAAAGTAGCAAAGGTAGTAGTGAGGATTGATAATAAGCAAGCCAGATCACGAGGGTATTGGAAGTTGTGGCAAAAGGCTGAACTTTATCTTGGAAGCATGAGAGAGCTATTAAGCATTTTTAATTTGGAAATGATAGCATCAGTTTCACACCTTAGTGTAAAAGGATTAGAGGCTTGAAGACTGAAGGTAGGGAGACAAGCTTGGATGCTGCAGGAAAGTTGTAATAATACCAAAGACAAATGAGAGTGGTCTGAATGCCAAGACAGAGGAAATGGCAAACTCAAAAAAGAAATAACAGTCTTAGAGACTGTTAAGGACTTGGTGATTGATTTGAGAGAGGGGATAAGGCAGAGGGAAGACTCTTCTTTAGGTACTTGGGTAAATAAAAGAGGTAAATAAAAGCATTCTTGCTCCACAGAAGGAGAATCCACATGGCTGTTAACAAGGTTAACCCATCACTAGATATGTGTGTGTTGCAAACCTGCTGCATTATATGGGCACAAAGAAGATGCTAACAGGAAACTTTCATGGTGCTGAGTGGGAAGCCTTCTGTTTTTCACACAGTTTTTCCAAGGACAACCACAGCCATAATACTGTCCACTTCAAGATTGAAGGGGGACAGATTACCATGAGCACTTTGTAGGACCACCCTAGCCTATGTGTGTAGCATCAGTTTTGTTTCCAAGAAACAAGCTGCTCAAGAAACCAAGCCCCCTTAACTGAGCACACTGCTTTCTGGTGTTATTTTCTTTCCTTTCTACATCATAGGTACTACTGTGACTAGAGGTAGGGTTGATGACCTCTTTGCTTCTCATTATCAATCTGATATCATTGTCTCTTCATCTTCATTAAAATGCTACTTCATATAGTCCAAATGTTTGTGTTCCCCCCAAATTCATAGGTTGAAATCCTAACTCCGAAGGTGATGATATTAAAAGGCAAGGTCTTTGGAGAGTGGTTAGAACATAAGGGTAGAGCCTTAATGACTGGGATAGTGCTATTACAAGGAAAGGTCTTAGGGAGCTTATTTGCCTTTTCCATCATATGTGAATTGTGAAAACACAGCATGAAGGGGCAATTCTATGAACAGGATGTGGGCCCTCACCAGACAGACACTGAATCTCAAGGCATCTTGATCTTGGACTTCTCAGCCTATAAAACTGTGAAAAACAAAATTCTGTGATCATAAGCTACACAGTCTATGGTATCATTATTAATTACCCACTCTGGGTAAATCATATAAATTACCCACTCTGGATATCCTGGGCAATATGGCCGAATAGGAACAGCTCCAGTCTACAGCTCCGGTCTACAGCTCCCAGCAAGACCAATGCAGAAGGTGGGTGATTTCTGCATTTTCAACTGAGGTACTTGGCTCATCTCACTGGAGCTGGTTAGACAGTGGGTGCAGCCCACAAAAGGTGAGCAGAAGCAGGGTGGGGCATTGCCTTACCTGGGAAGCACAAGGGTGGGGAAACTCCCTCTTCTAGCCAAGGGAAGCTGTAACGGACTGTGCTGTGAAAAACAGAGCTATCCTGCCCAGATACTACACTTTTCCCACTGTCTTCACAACCCACAAACCAGGAGATTCCCTCAGGTGACTACACCACCAGGGCCTGGGGTTTCAAGCACAAAGCTGGGTGGGCATTTGGGCAGACACTGAGCTAGCTGCAGGACTCGGTTGTTTTTTGTTTTTGTTTTTGTTTTTTTTCATACCACAGTGGCACCTGAAACGCCAGCGAGACAGAGCCCTTCACTCCCCTGGAAAGGGGGCTGAAGCCAGGGAGCCAAGTGGTCTAGCTCAGTGGATCCCACCCCCACAGAGCCGAGCTAGCTAAGATCCACTGACTTGAAATTCTCGCTGCCAGCACAGCAGTCTGAAGTCCACCTGGGGCACTCAAGCTTGGTAGAGGGAGGGTCACCCACCATTACTGAGGCTTGAGTAGGTGGTTTTCAACCTAAACAAAGCCACCAGGAAGTTTGGACTTGGTGGAGCCCACTGCAGTGACACAAAGCCCCTATAGCCAGACTGCCACTCTAGACTCCTCCTCTCTTAACAGGGCATCTCTGAAAGAAAGGCAGTAGCCCCAATCAGGGGCTTATAGATAAAACTCCCATATCCCTGGGACAGAGCACCTGGGGCAAGGGGCTGCTGTGGGTACAGCTTCAGCAGACTTAAATGTTCCTGCCTGCTAGCTCTGAAGAGAGCAGCAGGCCTCCCAGCACAGTGCTCGAGCTCTGCTAAGGGACAGACTGCCTCCTCAAGTGGGCCCCTGACCCCCATGCTTCTTGACTAGGAGACACCTCCCAGGAGGGGCCAATAGATACCTAATATAGGATATCTTCGGCTGGCATCTGGCAGATGCCCCTCTGTGATGAAGCTTCCAGAGGAAGGAGCAGGCAGCAATCTTTTCTGTTCTGCAGCCTCCACTGGTGATACCCAGGAAAACAGGGTCTGGAGTGGACCTCCAGCAAACTCCAGCAGACCTACAGAAGAGAGGCCTGGCTGTTAGAGGGAAAACTAACAAACAGGAAGCAATAGAATCAAAATCCACAAAAGGACAACCACTCAAAAACCCCATCCAAAGATCATTAACATCAAAGACCAAAGGTAGGTAATTCCACAAAGGTAAGGAAAAAACAGTGCCAAAAGGCCAAAAATTCCAAAAACCAGAATGCCTTCTCTCCTCCAAAGGATCATAACTCCTTGCCAGCAAGGGAACAAAACTGGATGGAGAATGATTTTGATGAATTCACAGAAGTAGGCTTCAGAAGGTGGTTAATAACAAACTCCTCTGAGCTAAATGATCATGTTCTAACTCAATGCAAGGAAGCTAAGAACCTTGATAAAAAGTTACAGGAAATTCCAACTAGAATAACCAGTTTAGAGAAGAACATGAATGACCTGATGGAGCTGAAAAACACAGCATGAGAACTTTGTGAAGCATACACAAGTATCAATAGCTGAGTCAATCAAGTAGAAGAAAGGATATCAGAGATTGAAGATCAACTTAATGAAATAAAGTGTGAAGACAAGAGTAGAGAAAAAATAATGCAAAGGAACAAACAAACCCTCCAAGAAATATGGGACCATGTGAAAAGACCAAACCCACATTTGATTGGTGTACCTGAAAGTGACCGGGATAATGGAACCAAGTTGGAAAACACTCTGCAGGATATTATCCAGGAGAACTTCCCCAACTTAGCAAGACAGACCAACATTCAAATTCATGAAATACAGAGAACATCACAAAGATACTCCTCGAGAAGAGCAACCCTAAGACACATAATTGTCAGATTCACCAAGGTAGAAATGAAGGAAAAAATGTTAAGGGCAGCCAGAGAGAAAGGTCGAGTTACCCACAAAGGGAAGCCCATCAGGCTAATAGTGGATCTGTCTGCAGAAACCCTACAAGCCAGAAGAGAGTGAGGACCAATATTCAACATTCCTTAAGAAAAGAATTTTCTACCCAGAATTTCATATCCAGCCAAACTAAGCTTCATAAGTGAAGGAGAAATAAAGTCCTTTACAGACAAACAAGTGTTGAGGTATTTTGTCACCACCAGGCCTGCATTACAAGAGCTCTTAAAGAAAGCACTACATATGGAAAGGAAAAACCAGTACCAGCCACTGCAAAAACATACCAAAATGTAAAGACCATCGACACTATGAAGAAACGGCATCAACTAATGGGCAAAATAACCAGCTAGCATCATAATGACAGGATGAAATTCACACATAACAAAATTAACCTTAAATGTAAATGGCTACATACCCCAATTAAAAGATACAGACTGGAAAATTGGATAAAGAGTAAAGAACCATTGGGGTGCTGTATTCAGGAGACCCATCTCATATGCAAAGACACACATAGGCTCAAAATAAAGGGATGGAGGGAGATTTACCAAGCAAATGGAAAGAAAAAAAAAGCAGGGGTTACAATGCTAGTCTCTGATAAAACAGAATTTAAACCAACAAAGATTAAAAAAGATAAAGAAGGGCATTACATAATAGTGAAGGGATCAATGCAACTATCCTCAATATATATGCACCCAATACAGGAGTACCCAGATTCATAAAGCAAGTTCTTAGAGACCTACAAAGAGACTTAGACTCCCACACAATAATGGTGGGAGACTTTAACAGCCCCCTGTCAATATTAGACATATCAATGAGACAAAAAATTAACAAGGATATTCAGGACTTAAACTCAGCTCTGGAACAAGCAGACCTAATTGACAACTACACAGCTCTCCACCCCAGGACTGCAGAATATACATTCTTCTCAGCAACACATTGCACTTATTCTAAAATTGACAACATAATTGGAAGTAAAACACTCCTCAGCAAATGCAAAAGAATGGAAATCATAATAAACATTCTCTCAGACCACAGTGAAATCAAATTAGAACCCAGTATTAAGAAACTTACTCAAAACTGCACAACTACATGGGAACTGAACAACCTGCTCCTGAATGACTACTGGATAAATAATAAAATTAAGCCAGAAATAAAAAAGTTCTTTGAAACCAATGAGAACAAACACACAATGCACCAGAATCTGTGGGACACAGCTAAAGCAGTGTTTAGAGGGAAATTTATAGCACTAAATGCCCACAGGAGAAAGCAGGAAAGATCTAAAATTGACACCCTAACAGTACAATGAAAAGAACTAGAGAACTAAGAGTAAACAAATTCAAAAGCGAGCAGAAGACAAGAAATAACTAAGATCAGAGCAGAACTGAAGGAGATACAGACAAGAAAAACCCTTCAAAAAATCAATGAATCCAGGAGCTGGTTTTTTGAAAAGATTAACAAAATAGATAGACTGCTAGCCAGACTAATAAAGAAGATAAGAGAGAAGAATCAAATAGACACAATAAAAAATGATAAAGGGGATATCACCACTGATCCCACAGAAATACAAACTACCATCAGAGAAGACTATAAGCACCTCTACACAAATAAACTAGAAAATCTAGAAAAATTGGATAAATTCCTGGACACATACACCCTCCCAAGACTAAACGAGGAAGAAGTCGAATCCCTGAATAGATGAATAACAAGTTCTGAAATTGAGGCAGTAATTAACAGCTTACCAAACAAAAAAAAAGACCAGGACCAGATGGATTCACAGCCAAATTCTACCAGAGGTACAAAGAGGAGTTGGTAAGATTCCTTCTAAAACTATTCCAAGCAGTAGAAAAAGAGGGAGTCCTCCTTAACTCTTTTTGTGAGGCCAGCATCAAATTGATACCAAAACCTTGGAGAGACACAACAAAAGCAGAAAATTTCAGGCCAATATCCCTGATGAACATCAATGCGAAAATCCTTGATAAAATATTGGCAAACCAGACCCAGCAGCACATTAAAATACTTCTCCACCACTATCAAGTCGGCTTCATCCCTGGAATGCAAGGCTGGTTCAACATATGCAAATCAATAAACATAATCCATCACATAAACAGAAACAAGGACAAAAACAACATGATTATCTCAATGTGCAGAAAAGGCCTTCAATAAAATTCAACACCACTTCATGCTAAAAACACTCAATAAACTAGGTTTTGATGAAACGCATCTCAAAATAATAAGAGCTATTTATGACAACCCACAGCCCACATCATACTGAATGGGCAAAAGCTGGACACATTCATTCCCTCTGAAAACTGGCACAGGACAAAGATGCCCTCTCTCATCACTCCTGTTCAACACAGTGTTGGAAGCTCTGGCCAGGGCAATCAGGCAAGAGAAAGAAATAAAGTTTATTCAAATAGGAAGAGAGGATGTCAAATTATCTGTTTGCAGATGACATGATTGTATATTTAGAGAACCCCATCGTCTCAGGCCAAAATCTCCTTAAGCTGATAAGCAACTTCAGCAAAGTCTCAGAATACAAAATCAATGTGCAAAAATCTCAAGCATTCCTATACACCAATAATAGACAAACAGAGAGCCAAATCATGAGTGAACTCCCATTCACAATTTCTACAAAGAGAATAAAATACCTAGGAATACAACTTATAAGGGATGTGAAGGACCTCTTCAAGGACAACTACAAACCACAGCTCAAGGAAATAAGACAGGACACAAACAAATGGAAAAACATTCCATGCTCATGGATAGGAAGAATCAATATCATAAAAATGGCCATACTGCCCAAAGTAATTTATAGATTCAACGCTATTCCCATCAAGCTGCCATTGACTTTCTTCACAGAATTACAAAAAACTACTTTAAATTACATATGTAACCAAAAAAGAGCCCATATTGCCAAGACAATAGTAAAGCAAAAAGAACAAAGCTGGAGGCATCTCACTACTTGACTTCAAACTATACTACAAAGCTACAGTAACCAAAACAGCTTGGTACTTGTACCAAAACAGATATATAGACCAATGGAACAGAATAGATGCCTCAGAAATAACACCACACTTCTACAACCATCTGTTGTTTGACAAATCTGACAAAAACAAGCAAGGGGGAAATGATTCCCTATTGAATAAAAGGTGTTGGGAAAACTGGCTAGCCATAGGCAGAAAACTGTAACTGGACCCCTTCCATAATCCTTATACAAAAATTAACTCAAGATGGGTTAAAGATTTAAATGTAAGACCTAAGGCCATAAAAGCCCTGGAAGAAAATCTAGGCAATATCATTCAGGACATAGGTATGGGCAAAGACTTCATGACTAAAACACCAAAAGCAATGGCAACAAAAGCCAAAATTGACAAATGAGATCTAATTAAACTAAAGAGCTTCTGCACAGCAAAAGAAACTACCATCAGAATGACCAGGCAACCTAGAGAATGGGAGAAAATTTCTGCAATCTATCCATCTGACCACGGGCTAATATCCAGAATCTACAAGGAATTCAAATTTACAAGAAAAAAGCAAACAACCCCATCAAAAACTGTCCAAAGGATATGAAGAGACACTTTTCAAAAGAAGATGTTTATGCAGCCATCAAAGACATGAAAAAAAGCTCATCATCACTGGTCATTAGAAAAATGTCAATCAAAACCACAATGAGATACCATCTCACGCCAGTTAGAATGGCAGTCATTAAAAAGTCAGGAAACAACAGATGCTGGAGAGGATGTGGAGAAATAGGAACACTTTTACACTGTTGGCGGGAGTGTAAATTAGTTCAACCATTGTGGAAGACACTGTGACAATTCCTTAGGCATCCAGAACGGGAATACCATTTGACCCACCAATCCCATTACTTGGTATATACCCAAAGGATTATAAATCATTCTACTATAAAGACATATGCACAGATATGTTTATTGCAGCACTATTCACAATAAAAAAGACTTGGAACTTACCCAAATGCCCATTAATGATAGACTGGATAAAGAAAATGTGGCACATATATACCATGGAATACTATGCAGCCATAAAAAAGAATGAGTTCTTGTCCTTCGCAGGGACACGGATGAAGCTGGAAACCATCATTCTCAGCAAACTAACACAGAAACAGAAAACCAATTGCCGCATGTTCTCACTCATAAGTGGGAGTTGAACAATGAGAACATATGGGCACAGGGAGGGGAACATCACACACAAGGGCCTGTCAGGGGGTAGAGGGCAAGGGGAGGGATAGCATCAGGAGAAATACCTAATGTGGTTGATGGGTTGATGGGTGCAGCAAACAACCATGGCACATGTATACCTGTGTAACAAACTTGCACGTTCTGCACATGTATCCCAGAATTTAAGTATAATAAAAAAAAAAGGGAAAAAGAGTACCCATTCTGGTACCCTGTCCAGAAAAATCTAAGGCAGCATGCAACACTTCTTGCCGCAGTCATATGCAAACCTTATAGCACTCTTTGAGGATTTGACCTCAGACTCCTCCCCAGATGAATTCTGTCATCAGTCTTGATTATTTTATTTTATTTTATTTATTTTTTTATTATACTTTTAAGTTTTAGGGTACATGTGCACATTGTGCAGGTTAGTTACATATGTATACATGTGCCATGCTGGTGCGCTGCACCCACTAACTCGTCATCTAGCATTAGGTATATCTCCCGATGCTATCCCTCCCCCCTCCCACCACCCCACAACAGTCCCCAGAGTGTGATATTCCCCTTCCTGTGTCCATGTGATCTCATTGTTCAGTTCCCACCTATGAGTGAGAATATGCGGTGTTTGGTTTTTTGTTCTTGCGATAGTTTACTGAGAATGATGATTTCCAATTTCATCCATGTCCCTACAAAGGACATGAACTCATCATTTTTTATGGCTGCATAGTATTCCATGGTGTATATGTGCCACATTTTCTTAATCCAGTCTATCATTGTTGGACATTTGGGTTGGTTCCAAGTCTTTGCTATTGTGAATAATGCCACAATAAACATACAGGTGCATGTGTCTTTATAGCAGCATGATTTATAGTCCTTTGGGTATATACCCAGTAATGGGATGGCTGGGTCAAATGGTATTTCCAGTTCTAGATCCCTGAGGAATTGCCACACTGACTTCCACAATGGTTGAACTAGTTGACAGTCCCACCAACAGTGTAAAAGTGTTCCTATTTCTCCACATCCTCTCCAGCACCTGTTGTTTCCTGACTTTTTAATGATCACCATTCTAACTGGTGTGAGATGGTATCTCATTGTGGTTTTGATTTGCATTTCTCTGATGGCCAGTGATGGTGAGCATTTTTTCATGTGTTTTTTGGCTGCATAAATGTCTTCTTTTGAGAACTGTCTGTTCATGTCCTTCGCCCACTTTTTGATGGGGTTGTTTTTTTCTTGTAAATTTGTTTGAGTTCATTGTAGATTCTGGATATTAGCCCTTTGTCAGATGAGTAGGTTGCGAAAATTTTCTCCCATTTTGTAGGTTGCCTGTTCACTCTGATGGTAGTTTCTTTTGCTGTGCAGAAGCTCTTTAGTTTAATGAGATCCCATTTGTCAATTTTGTCTTTTGTTGTCATTGCTTTTGGTGTTTTAGACATGAAGTCCTTGCCCATGCCTATGTCCTGAATGGTATTGCCTAGGTTTTCTTCTAGGGTTTTTATGGTTTTAGGTCTAACGTTTAAGTTTTTAATGCATCTTGAATTGATTTTTGTATAAGGTGTAAGGAAGGGATCCAGTTTCAGCTTTCTACATATGGCTAGCCAGTTTTCCCAGCACCATTTATTAAATAGGGAATCCTTTCCCCATTGCTTGTTTTTCTCAGGTTTGTCAAAGATCAGATAGTTGTAGATATGTGGCATTATTTCTGAGGGCTCTGTTCCGTTCCATTGATCTATATCTCTGTTTTGGTACCAGTACCATGCTGTTTTGGTTACTGTAGCCTTGTAGTATAGTTTGAAGTCAGGTAGTGTGATGCCTCCAGCTTTGTTCTTTTGGCTTAGGATTGACTTGGCGATGCGGGCTCTTTTTTGGTTCCACATGAACTTTAAAGTAGTTTTTTCCAATTCTGTGAAGAAAGTCATTGGTAGCTTGATGGGGATGGCATTGAATCTGTAAATTACCTTGGGCAGTATGGCCATTTTCACGATATTGATTCTTCCTACCCATGAGCATGGAATGTTCTTCCATTTGTTTGTATCCTCTTTTATTTCCTTGAGCAGTGGTTTGTAGTTCTCCTTGAAGAGGTCCTTCACATCCCTTGTAAGTTGGATTCCTAGGTATTTTATGCTCTTTGAAGCAATTGTGAATGGGAGTTCACTCATGATTTGGCTCTCTGTTTGTCTGTTGTTGGTGTATAAGAATGCTTGTGATTTTTGTACATTGATTTTGTATCCTGAGACTTTGCTGAAGTTGCTTATCAGCTTAAGGAGATTTTGGGCTGAGACAATGGGGTTTTCTAGATATACAATCATGTCGTCTGCAAACAGGGACAATTTAACTTCCTCTTTTCCTAATTGAATACCCTTTATTTCCTTCTCCTGCCTAATTGCCCTGGCCAGAACTTCCAACACTATGTTGAATAGGAGTGGTGAGAGAGGGCATCCCTGTCTTGTGCCATTTTTCAAAGGGAATGCTTCCAGTTTTTGCCCATTCAGTATGATATTGGCTGTGGGTTTGTCATAGATAGCTCTTATTATTTTGAAATATGTCCCATCAATACCTAATTTATTGAGAGTTTTTAGCATGAAGGGTTGTTGAATTTTGTCAAAGGCTTTTTCTGCATCTATTGAGATAATCATGTGGTTTTTGTCTTTGGCTCTGTTTATGTGCTGGATTACATTTATTGATTTGCGTATATTGAACCAGCCTTGCATCCCAGAGATGAAGCCCACTTGATCATGGTGGATAAGCTTTTTGATGTGCTGCTGGATTCGGTTTGCCAGTATTTTATTGAGGATTTTTGCATCAATGTTCATCAAGGATATTGGTCTAATATTCTCTTTTTTTGTTGTGTCTCTGTCTGGCTTTGGTATCAGAATGATGCTGGCCTCATAAAATGAGTTAGGGAGGATTCCCTCTTTTTCTGTTGATTGGAATAGTTTCAGAAGGAATGGTACCAGTTCCTCCTTGTACCTCTGGTAGAATTCGGCTGTGAATCCATCTGGTCCTGGACTCCTTTTGATTGGTAAGCTATTGATTATTGCCACAATTTCAGCTACTGTTATTGGTCTATTCAGAGATTCAACTTCTTCCTGGTTTAGTCTTGGGAGAGTGTATGTGTCAAGGAATTTATCCATTTCTTCTAGATTTTCTAGTTTATTTGCATAGAGGTGTTTGTAGTATTCCCTGATGGTAGTTTGTATTTCTGTGGGATCGGTGGTGATATCCCTTTTATCATTTTTTATTGCATCTATTTGATTCTTCTCTCTTTTTTTTATTAGTCTTGCTAGCGGTCTATCAATTTTGTTGATCTTTTCAAAAAACCAGCTCCTGGATTCATTAATTTTTTGAAGGGTTTTTTGTGTCTCTATTTCCTTCAGTTCTGCTCTGATTTTAGTTATTTCTTGCCTTCTGCTAGCTTTTGAATGTGTTTGCTCTTGCTTTTCTAGTTCTTTCAATTGTGATGTTAGGGTGTCAATTTTGGATCTTTCCTGCTTTCTCTTGTGGGCATTTAGTGCTATAAATTTCCCTCTACACACTGCTTTCAATGTGTCCCAGAGATTCTGGTATGTTGTGTCTTTGTTCTCGTTGGTTTCAAAGAACATCTTTATTTCTGCCTTCATTTCGTTATGTACCCAGTAGTCTTTCAGGAGCAGGTTGTTCAGTTTCCATGTAGTTGAGCGGTTTTGAGTGAGATTCTTAATCCTGAGTTCTAGTTTGATTGCACTGTGGACTGAGAGATAGTTTGTTATAATTTCTGTTCTTTTACATTTGCTGAGGAGAGCTTTACTTCCAAGTATGTGGTCAATTTTGGAATAGGTGTGGTGTGGTGCTGAAAAAAATGTATATTCTGTTGATTTGGGGTGGAGAGTTCTGTAGATGTCTATTAGGTCAGCTTGGTGCAGAGCTGAGTTCAATTCCTGGGTATCCTTGTTGACTTTCTGTCTCGTTGATCTGTCTAATGTTGACAGTGGGGTGTTAAAGTGAATTTATTTTGAGCCTATGTGTGTCTCTGCACGTGAGATGGGTTTCCTGAATACAGCACACTGATGGGTCTTGACTCTTTATCCAATTTGCCAGTCTGTGTCTTTTAATTGGAGCATTTAGTCCATTTACATTTAAAGTTAATATTGTTATGTGTGAATTTGATCCTGTCATGATGATGTTAGCTGGTTATTTTGCTCGTTAGTTGATACAGTTTCTTCCTAGTCTCGATGGTCTTTACATTTTGGCATGATTTTGCAGCGGCTGGTACCGGTTGTTCCTTTCCATGTTTAGTGCTTCCTTCAGGAGCTCTTGTAAGGCAGGCCTGGTGGTGACAAAATCTCTCAGCATTTGCTTGTCTGTAAAGTATTGTTAAAGTGAATTTCAATTTCAATTTTTTTGTTTGTTTTTTCACTTTAGTTTCGATGAGAAGAATATAGTAAAGGAAACTGATATTTGTAATAATTGTGTTTTTATTTCATACAGGTGTTTTAAAAAAAAATAACCCTGTTGTCAATACATTTTGCTAAATTCAGTTACCAGTGAAAGAAAATGGCCCATATGATTTGAAAAGGGAGAATTAATGGCCGGCCACATTGCTCAAGTCAACTGTTTTGTAGCATATACTCATATTCTATTAAGTAACAAACACTAAGTAGGTGATGTGAGGAATACAAAAATATGACCCCTGTTGTTCCGTATCTCATATATTACATGTGTAAACCTTCCCCTCATTTTTCTCTGAATAGTTTGTTTTGCAATTAATTTCAACTAAACAAATGAATAAGACCACAGCCCTATTTAAAGCATTTACCTTTGCACAGGGGTTCTAACAAACTTTGCTGATATATGATTAGGGTGTATAAAAATCAAAACCCAAAGCAAAACAAACAAACAAACAAACCAACACTCACACAAATTCTCAGTCCCTGGGAGAATGAAAAGCTGAGGGTATGCTAAAAATAAATACTGCACAAACCAATTCTCTGGTTGGATAATAGAGTATTACTCCCAGTGAGCAGCAAGTTGGGCCTTTTAAAAGACAGTCTCTTGCTCAGGGCACTCAGGGAACTCAAAGACCTTTTAGAAAACGAAGCTATGGTATATAATCTACGCCACGCAGCCTAGAAATCAATATGCTTCTCTATCTCACTCACCAGGAGGATCTGGCAGATTGAGAATTGTTCCAGAAGAAAGCATATTAGGCAACAAATGGCTCCCCTTAATTATACCCAGTGTGGGGACTGGAGGATGATATGAAAAACTAATTTGAGACCATCAGTATACAAAGATCCTTAGCAGAGCAAAACTTAGGGTTCCAAAGAAATGACTCTACAGGCCCAGCACCTTACATTAAATTCCTATTAACAGTGAATTTCAAAGCTTGCATGAGTGACTGCATAAAACATCCTAATTGTTAGTTTCTGAATGGGTGGTTTTTGCAGTTTTTCCTTTGTTTGTTGCACACATTCAAGTAAACACGTTTTCCTCTTAAGGCAAGTTTTTGTAATGCAAATTTGATATGACTTGATCATTTAATTTTTGGAGAACAATTATTAATTTATGTTATATAGAATGAAATCAAAACACTTATTCTCTGCTGGTGTTTATAAGAAAAGACTCTTATGCCAAAAAACAAAGGTATTCAGACATTGGGTTTTTTGGAGTGATTTATATTAACTTGTAATAATTAGAAATAAAATTGTCATTGAAACTTCCTGTGAATCCTTGGCTAGCCCATGTATGAAAAGTGACATTTTTGTATCATTAAGAAAGTATCACTAAAAATTTTAACCCCTTTTTTATTTTATGTGGGATAAACCAGGATAAATACAGAATAATATATAAAATATTTCTGGAAAGATAAACATAAAATGTATATCAATTTGCTATAGAGGCTCTGATATTGTGACATATAGATATGGATAGATACAGATATAGATATAGATATAGATATAGATATAGATATAGATATAAATAAAGATATAGATACTTGGTCTTCCCCCAGGTTTCCTGACACAGCTCCTAAAACCCTTGGAATCTCAGGAGTGTTAAGTGTCATTTGTATGCTAATGAGATGACAGGTGTCTGGCTGCCCCTGGGTGAATTCAGGATGCAGGTCATTTACAAGAAAGACCAAGGCAAAATTAGAGGTTTAGGGCTTTCAGGTCCACCCTCCAAAACCAGGAAGGGGAGAAAGACTAAAAGTTAAGTCGATCACCAATGGCCATTGATTTAATCAGTCATACCTACATATGGCACTTCTATAAAAATCCAAAAGGATTGGATTCCAGGGGATTCTGGGTAGCTAAACATGTGGAGGTTCCTGCAAGATAATGCTGCTGGAAAAGGAATGGAAGCCTCACGGCTCTTCCCTCATGCTTACCCTGCACACCTCTTCCATCTGACTATTCATCTGTATTCCTTCGTAATATCCTTTATAATAAGTGGGTAAATATACATAAAGTGTTTCCTTGAGTTCTGTGAGTGCTATAGCAAATTAATAAAACCCAGGAAGTATGGAAAGCAAAATCCAAGCAGACTTCAGAGGAAAGCCTTTTTATAAACTACATACAGTCATATGTCACTTAACAATGGCAATATATTCTGAGAAATGCATTGTGATTTTATTATTACATGAACATCATAGAGTGTACTTACACAAACCTAGATGATATAGCCATATGTTATAGCCTATTGTTCTTAGGCTATGAACCTTAACAGCATGTTACTGCACTGAATATTATAAGCAGTTGTGATACAAGGTAAGTATTTAAACAGAAAAAAATATAGTAAAAATGGGATATTCTAAACTTATGGGACCACTGTCATATATGTGGTCCCTTATTGACCAAAATGTCATTATATAGGCATATGACTATAATATTGCCTTTATAAACTCATTTGGGCATCCTCAGTTTATTTTATAGAACCCTGTTCTTATCATTTATAGTATTCATCACAATATATAATTATACATTTAGTTATTATCTTATTGATTTAGTATTTGTCTTTCCTTTGGTCTCTGACTCCTAGTAGACTGGGCCATGTATGCATATATACCTTCTGGCAAAGAGAAGGATCACCATAAAGATGTGTTGGCTATATGACTGACTGACTGACTGAAGGAATGAATAGATGAATGAACAAAGGGACAGGTGAATGAACTCAGAAAAAAATTATTAACAATTATTTTACCTGACATTATCATCATTTTTTTCAATCAAAACTATTGCTTTTGTAGTGTTTTTTGAATACCAAGTTAACCAAGGAAACTTTGGTCACTTATAGTCACTCTAATGGATAAATTTAAAAGGATTTGTGGCACCTATCAATTGATGTCTACACCTAATGAACCTCAACTCTATTTTACTGCCTGAATAGAATTGATTGCCTTTTTTATAATCACACAGCAAAGTTCTTATATATTCTATCAGTAGATACTACCCATACCACTTACCTCGGATTCCTGGCAGGTAATGCCCTAAATCACATTCACAATGATTTTGCTACCAAAACACTAGGGGTTTGTTCTAGGTCCCATTGCTTATTGCACAGAAAGCCAATCACTGAGATAAAAAGTCATGTCAGGGAAGAAGGCTTTATTTGGGTGCTATAGCCAAGGAGATGGAAGATCAATCTCAAATCCATCTCCTCTACCATCTAAAATTAGGAGTTTAAATAGCAGGGAAGCACCACGTTTGTGAAAACAGAAGTTAGGAAGGGGTGAGGAAGAAGCTTTGAAGCTTAAGAAGCCTTCAACAGAAAGCAGGTGGGCATTTAAGGCAATCATGACGGGAGAGGGGTTTGGCATGTCCTTGACCAGATGTGGTGATCTGATAAACTTCAAGTTTCACGATACTATCTTGGAGGCCTGATGGTTGGTGAATTAGGCTATTCTTGCATTGCTATAAAAACATACCCAAGACTGGGTAGTTTAATAAGAAAAAATGTTTTATTGCCTCAGAGTTGTGCAGGCTGCACAGGAAGCATGGTGCTGGCATCTGCTTGGCTCCTGGGGAGGCCTACGGGAGCGTTTACTTGTGGTGGAAGGCAAAGTGGGAGCAGGCACGCTATATAGCAAGAGCAGGAAGCTAGGCAGTGGATAGAGGTGCCACACACATTTAAACAACCAGATCTCATGAGAACTCGCTATCACAAGGACAGCACCAAGGGAGTGGCACTAAACCATTTAGGAGAAACCTATTCTCATGATCCAGTCACCTCCCACCAGGTTCTACTTCTAACATTGGGGATTACAATTCAACATGTGATTTAGAGGGAACAACATCCAAACAATATCAGTTGGTGTCCTGAGAAGGGAACTCAAATAAGGCAAATGCAATTTTATACATTTTGGGACTGAGAGAGTCAATTTCTATATTTATTCAAAGTAATCCATAACATTAGCTGTATGGGACAATAGGGCTGGTTTCCATTTCATCTCCTCAGTCCATATGACAAACAGTAACATAACAGTATTGGCCTCAGCATGGAAAAATTACTATTTTATACTGTCCTCAAAACTATGTAGGGGAATTGGTGGTGATGTTGAAAAAGAGTACAAAGTTGGTAGAAGTTTAGGAAAGTAAAAACTAGAAAGACAGTTTTATAAAAGCAAGTCCTTCGAATTATCTAAAGAATACTTCTCTTATGCTATTCAGTGACATTTTTCTCACTGTTACCAATTCCTCAACACCTCACTCATGAATTTTTAAATTTGAAAGTATCCGTTGTACCTTATTAATCTGTAGCCACCTTAATGTAAGATGCTGGAATAGTGGTCAGGCCTCATGGGGAAGGGCACATAATACATATTTAGGCCCTATACCCAGGTCAAATTGTTCTGTGTGAGGGACATGGCATGCATGAGCAGCAAGTGGGCAGAGATAGTTAACAGGGAGAGGGAGTCAGCTTGCCATGGAGGGCTGTGTGCAGGAGACAAAGAGGAAGGTATTTCAGGTGCTTCTCAGAGGGGAAAGAGTCAGGAAAACAGAGATATTCCTAAAGCCAATTTTAGAAAACTTTCTCTATGGTTTACATGCACTCAACTTCAAGATGTTTAATAATATCTAAATTATTCTATTAGTTCTCTGAGTTCAGACTTTTCTCTCTTCATTTGTGACTCTGCAGAGTTTGGGCCCATGAAGGAGCGGAAAAGCTCTGTGGGACCCATACATGATTCTGTTCCTTGACATTTTTATATAGAAGGCATTTTAAAATTGTTTTTTTGACTCAACAAACTACTTGAAAGTAAAGAGTAGTAAGCATGCAGTCCTGGAAATAAAACAATAAGGTCTGTTTTTTTTCCCTAAGAAAAATGGAGATGTCAATGTGAGATGACTTATTTGTGGTTATATTTAGATTATCTCATAAAAGATTAACTCACAAAAGATATTTAGAGTATCTCACAGAAGAAAAAGGTTGTATTTAGATCATCCCACAAAAGAATGCAATGCATTCCAAATTCTAATGTTTAGCAGGGAGATATTAAATAAATATATACAATAAAAGATGATTACTAAAAAATAGAATATATTATTTTATTCAAAACACAAAAGATTTATAAGAGCACAAAAATGGTAACTTTCTATTAACACCTGTTAATAGCAAAACTGAATTAAAGGAGTTGTGGCAAGATACCCCTTGTTGGGATGAAATTCAAATCTACATCACGTGGGTGACCCACACCCATGAACAGCAACTAGCCCTTCCCCACAATGATGCAGCAGCTGATGTAATAAAATTGAAAGTTGTGTGTGTGGGTTTGTATATGTATAAACATATATGCTTTTATATATACTTATATGTTTTCCTTTGCAGGATATATGTGTATGTGTATATATGTATGCATGTGTTTCTGTTATCCTATAAAATATACACACATATATACGTTTATCCTATAAAAACATATATATTTATATAAACATATATATGTGTTTTTTTGTAGGATATACACACGTACTACATACACATAAAATAATGCATAATGAAGTTTTAGTTGAGTCTCAATAAACTTTCAATCTGAGACCAAGTTTTACCCCTTTAAAACCTTGGGACTGGTTGCAAAATGCCAACATTGATAGGAAAAGTTTTGTAAAATGAAAATTAACATGCACTGCTGCCCATACTCTTCACTTCCTCTAAACATATGATGAAACAGAGATTGCTATGTGAGAGTATTTAAATCAAAGAGGATAATGCACTGTCTCAATAAACAGAGATAACATTTCAGTTGAGTTTTGAGACTAAGCAGAAAGTTTTCAAAGAAAAACAGAGAAAGGGCATTACCTATTAGAAAAAAAAAACAGAATTGCTTGGAGTCATCAACATAGCATGAAATTCTTGAGGACATGGGTTGCTTCTAACTCATTCATGGACAGTCAAGCAAATAGATGTTGCTTATCTTCTGTATTTCAAGATTGTTTTTTAAATTGTTGTAAACACTGAGCAAAAGGCTAAGTATTCCTGAATTATAAGGCAATGTTTCCCTGCATAAGGAATAATTTAGTGGTGAAGATGAAAACATATAAAAAGACTTTTAGCAATTTGAAATAGCATTTAGAATTACATGTTCTGAGATGTTAGAGAAAGAGATACGATGATGGCAAGAGAAGAAATCTCAGGATGGGGTAGAATTTAAGCAAGTGATAAAGAGGATGGAAAGGCATTGTCAGTGAAGGATGCCCAGCAGGGCTACCATGCTGTACAGTTCTATAACACAAAAATCCAATGGAAATTTTGCTCCAGGGAGAACTATTTGCATAGACTAAAATGAGAGTATATCATTCACAGTCACAAGATTTTCAATTTAGAGCATCAGAGCTTGTTTAAGGCCTATGGAGCCAATTCTTCCTTTGAGTTTAGGATCAAGCAACCCTCACATGGAATCTCTCGAGGGTCCTGAAGGTCACTAGCTTTCTGTGCTTTGTTTTTGCTGATCCAGCACTTAGAATTTTCATTTCCATTTGGAAACCAATAAATCAGCATATCTTGCCAGAGGAGTTGAACCTCTTAAGATGCAATCAAATTGCTCAGTCAGAATGACTCCTGAAAATTGATCTGCACATTGTTAAGCGTGGAAGAGAACTTTCACATATCTAATGAATATATATTGCTGATGTATAGGATAATGCTAGCTGGAGCTTGCAGGATTGAGTTAAGCTGTTGTAATTAGAAGATCTGAGTTTATCTGTACCAAGTAAAACAGAAGGTTATTCATCAGTAATATTTGCCAATTATATTTGTATTATTATTCAAGGAAGAAAAAAATTTGCTTTTCCTCTAACCATCTTAAATTTATTGGCTATGGCCTTGCAAATTAGACTATCAAAAGACAGGTTAATGAAAGAAAAGTAGAATTTTGTTAATGAGTGCATCATGTATACACACAAGAGAATTCAGCGATCAGTAACTCAAAGTGGTGGTTAAAACTTGGGCTTATATAGCATCATAAGAAAAGACCAATAAATTTGTAGGTAAGTGACAAGATAAAGGAAAGGACTTTGAGTTTCTAGGGTCTGCAAATTGTGAGAAGGTAATGCATATGGGACAACTAATGGTAGATAAAGACTAGTTAGTAAAGTTTCTTATGTAGATTCCTCTGTTGCCATCTCTTGGCTAATAAGGATTTGGAGTTGTCTCCAGCAATTAATTTATGGTCTTCCTGATAGAAATGGGAGGGGAAAACACCTAAAAAATGAATGTCTTGTCTTTAGGCAAACAGGGAGAGACCAGAAACTTCTTCTTGTATCTCTTTCTTCTCAATTTCCTTCAGCTCAAAATAGTCTACATGCCAAAGAAGCATATTTTGAGGTGGCATATTCTGCTGCTTTTCATGTAATCAGTGTGTTTGCTGATACATTGTTTTGTAATTATCTTCATGTCACTTTGTATGTTTGTCATCCTTAATCAATGTTAGAAACAATAAACATAAAATTTATTTAAAATTTCTGAAGTACTTCCCTTGGTGCTTTTTACAACACACCAAAGGTTTTTAAGTTGCTTTGTTTTGATTTGTCATATAACTTTTTGTCCTTATTTTTCGACCTACAGAAATTATCAATGAATAATTTTCACCAAAATTGAGTCTTTGAAACTATTTGCATTTTAACATATTAATTTTGTCATTCAATCCATGTTTCAAAACAATAGCATTATCAATTTATTGTTTCTCAGTTTTCCTCATTCCAATGCTGTCCAATTTCTTTGCTCAGGCCCGGCCCAATCTCACAAAAAAAGTCCTAAAAAGATCATTTATCTCCCTATAGACCATTAAAAGACAGTTGAGAAAATGACCACCTCTCTTGAGATGCTACTTCCTCCTTGACAAAGCAATATCTACCTAATTAATTTAATCAGATTATCACAAAGACTAAGAAGGTATGACAAGGTATTCCATGTGTCTTGTGTTATTTAGAGAAAGGTGTTTTGTGTGTGTGTGTGTGTGTGTGTGTGTGTGTGTGTATATATATAGAGGGAGAGAGAGAGAGAGAGAGAGAGAGAGAGAGAGAGAAACAGCATGATTTTATCTGCTCATTATTCCCTTAGCTCTTATGTTAGCAGACTGGTTTTCAGCTTGTTTGCTCTGAATCAAGTAAACATAATGTCAATGGAGTAATTGTGGGATTCAGATAAAAGAAGAACAAGTGAATTGGCAAACACTAAAATCACTAAATAATATTTGAAGCTAATGAAAATGAGGAATCAGTCTGCAACTGGGAAATCTAAGAATAGTATCAATTTTTTCTTGCAGACTTTAGCACTAATTTCTCTCCTCTTCAACTTCAAGATGTCATGTAAAATGTCATTTGTGCATGTTTTGCTAAACGAACAAGGCAATTGGCATCCCTTACTGTCCTGGTGGAAAGGAACGCAAAATTCCCCATCATAAATGGAGTAATCAGGTAAGTGTAATAGAATGCGTGCTTTTAGAGTTTTGTATTGTTATAAACAGAAAATAATAGGGACTTTTTTGTTATTATTACCAGCTTAAGAATATTCAAATGCAATAATTTCTAAAATACAAGTTGGTAAAGGGAATTGAAAAATGAAAGGAGTCATTAAAAGAGGGTGGTGAGCAAGTCTAGTAAGACAGCTGCAGTGCATTGAATTATAGTTTAATTGTTTCAAAGTTTTCCTCAGAACGCTTAGGGGAGAATTGCAGGCATATTGGAGAGGAAAGGCCAAGCTGTGCTAGGCATATTGAATTAAAGTATTCTAAACTTCTCTACATATATTATTTTTCCATGTGCTTTTTGTAGCCTACAGGGAAAGAAAAAAAAAAAAGAGTAGACACCCCTCAATATCCCATGCCCCAATTTTTAGTTGAAAACCCTCAAGAACACTTTGTCGCTTTGATCTTGCTCTATAATTATGGTATGGGCTTTTTAATGGATAGAGACAGGAAAAAGTCAGAAGAATAAACTTCTCATATCACTTTACTCAGAAGTTGTTTTAAATCACAAATTCCTTCTTGATCCCTCAAGAATTGCAGAAGTTGAGGCTGATGTTAAAAAAAAAACATTAAGCTTGTTCACATTTATGAAATTTTGAAAGTCAAGAATGTATATAGGAAAGGAAATATCTGCACTCACTTGTGGTGGCAGCTCCTTCTGGTTCCCACAAGCCCATTGTTAAATGTTCAGGTATTTTATGAGCTGATTGTTAAACTATTGGTAGCTTTAAATTGGGCTTGGCAGCAATATTTATAACATGGATATTGATAACTGCTACACATCAGCCTCCCAGTTTACCAGTACTTCAGCATGCTGCCAGGAGAAGCAGCTAGAGTAATGGTGACAGCCATTTGGAACTTAGGTACTTTAGGCAAAACACTCCAGTGTGAGAGGGTTAGTGTTGCGCCCTGCATGATCATCACAGCAGGAACTCAGAAAGACATGAATAGTAGGACGAGCCAGCAGAAGATAATGCAACAAGAAAGATATAGATATAGATATAATTATAATATATAATAATTATAACATATATTACATATAATATATATAATTATTCCCACTCAGGAATAACTTAAAGTAGTTATTCTTAAAGTTCCCCCAAGTGGGAATAACTTAAAGTGGTTATTCTTAAATTAGTTATTCTTAAAGTTAATTTAAAGTACTCTAACCACCAATGACTGATGCCCATCTTATGGTTTGAATGTTTGGGTCCCTCTAAAATTCATGTTAAAACTTAATCTCCAATACAACATTATTACGAAGTGGAACCTTTAGGAAGTGATTAGGCCGTGAGGGCTCCACCAGTGGGATCAGTGCCTTTGTAAAATGGCTTGAGGGAGTAAGTTCATGCCTTTTGCTAAGTGAATACATAGCGTTTGTCCCCTCCACAAGACACAGCAACAAGGCACGATATTGGAAGAAGACAGCAAGCACTTACCAGACACCAAATTTGCCAGTGCCTTGATCTTCAGCTTTCTAGCTGCCAGAAAAAAATGAGAAATAAAATTTTGTTCCTTGTAAATCGCCCTGTCTGTGGTATTTAGTTATAGCAGCAGGAAAGGACTATGAAATCATCCCTAGATAGGAAACTTTGGTTTTAAATAACACCATACTTGATGATCTGTTTAACTGTATGTTTAATTACCTGTTGTATAAAATTGTATGTGATTTAACCAAAGTTTCTGTCTACTTACTTTTCTCCCAAACAGTTCTCTTAATGGTGTTCTAAAGCCCAAATTTCAAAAAATTCTTTTAGGTTTTGTTAAACCAAAATCAACCTGAACCTTTTGGAGGTCACTTCATGAGGTTTCTGTAGACAGTAGCCTGACAGGCAACTACTCAGCTACTTACTCAGGCAATATGAGATCCCCAGCAAATTTAATTTTGTACTTATGCTCATGAGTGATGAGTTGCAAGATATATAGCCAAAACAGATTTAAAATTATAGTTAACACTTGTATGCTGTTTACTACTAACTACATGTATTGACACTTAATTCTCATAAGAACCTGTGAATTAATTACTGCTATTTTAAAGATGAAAAAGAAAATAACCAAAAAATAAAAATCTGAGTCACAGGAGTTTACTTACCTTGCATAACACTCACATCAGTAAGTTTGCAGCAAGGCTTTGAATCCAGGGGGTTCAACTCCAGAAGCTAAGAGCTTAATTACTACACCGATGCTCTTCAGGGAGCCGTAACATTTTGTGACACTGGAAATGCTACTGGCTAAGAATCTTCAAATTTAAGTGCCCTTTTCACTAGAATGAACTGCACATTATATTTTTTCTTTTTATTTTTAAAGAATATTAGAGTACATGCAAAGATTTTGACATCTATATCATTTTCTATGACTGTTACAGTCACATATACATGTGAATTTAATCTAATTCCGTTTGATTTAATAGATGGTTAAGAACTTACTAGAAACTACACACTCTACTAGGAACTATGAAGAACAGAAAAGTAGTTTTTAGCATATCTGCACCAGAGATTATTACAATAGAAGTTGAGAAGCAACACATATACTTGGAAGAGTTGGAGTTTGAAACAAGATAATATACAATGAAATACCTCCTTTAGGAAAGTTGGTATAAAAGACAGTATTAAATCTACATGGAACCCATAAAAATTCTTATAGAAAGAACATAAGGCAAAATAATTAGATTTCAGTTAAATAAATGAAAAATAAAATATCACTTTGATATAACATTCTTTTGTAGAGTTATATAGAGGATGAAAAAATAAATTATGGTAATAAGATATTTTCTTAAAAAAGTAGATACTGAAGGAAGAAAATCTAGACGAGATAAGAAGATAAAAAAGCGTTACACAGAATACTAAATAATTGAAAAAGAGAGATGTATAATGCAAAAACAAAGCAGAGTCATAAGTAAAATACAAAGCTGAGGATATAAGGGAGAAATATTAAATAACAAATTCAAAAGGTGCCAGTATTCATTCTTATGGGCTAAGACAACTGAAATAGCAGCACTGCCAACTCTTAGACTAGCCTAAAAAGTAGTATGGGTTCTATTCAATGAAGAAGAGTATTTTAAAATAATACTAATAAAAATATATTCTAAAATTAAGTTATTGATATTTGCTTTTAATTTAACTTGTATTTGAATTAAAATTACAACAACTTTATTGAATTGGAAGGCATATAAGATCAGTTTCTTAACTAATCTCCACATTAATGGAATGAATGAGGACCTATTAGGCATGTGAAAGTTGAAGATAGCAACCAGGGCCTTTGGTGTTATTTTGGGAAATAAATTAATTCAGAAAAAAATTGATAAATTTGAGATGTAGCAAAGTACTTTCCAATAAATTAAAAAATGGACCAAATATTTTTTAAGACCTGGAGATATACATAAATAGAGCTAGAGGAGCATGTATGGGAATGGAAATTTTAGAAGAATCAAGCAACTTTCATGAAAAAGGTAGCTTAGTTTTGACCCCATTAAGACATTTAAAGGCAAATTGATAAAAAAAAAAGTAATGACAAAATCCTGAAGTCTATTATCAAGCTGACTTTTATTTATTTTTAATCATAAGTATACAGAGATTAGGTTAATGGCATAAAGCATTTTTTTAGAGTAAGCAGCCCTAACTGTTGCAACAGAAAAATCCTAGACATTCAGAATCATAACAAATAAGTGCAGTGTCCAACATAGGTCCAGCAGCCCTCATTCATCCTGCAGTTACACCATCTGTAATACTTGTTCTCCAGGATGACCACAGTAGAAAAAGTGAGACCTGGAGATTTATGCAGATTTCTAAAAATACTCCATGACAAGTAATATTACACATTATTGCCATGACAAGTAATAGTACACATTATTGCCATCAACATTCCATTGGCCAAAACTCAATCTCCATGACACACCTGAATAGCAAGGAAATATCAAATTCATGGGCACACAAAACTCAGCTTACTGCATGCCCAGGAAGAGAATATACCAAAATGACAAAAATCATTGTTTATCCCACTATATATTATTAGGATATGAGGTTAATAAATAAATTTATGCTTGGAGTATATTCTGCTTCTCATTACTCATGACTAGGAAAGAAAGCCTAGCAAAGGGATAAATTGGAACATCTTATCACCGATGTCTTCACTATGAATCTAGAATACCTCCAAGCAGAGCAGAGTGTCTGAACAATAAATGACAAACTAGTTTTTAAAGGTAAGATGGTGCTATTAATACCAACAGTTTAGCTTACCAAATACCAGTTGTCAGAATGAATTTATATATAGTCTCTCTGTATACACACTATCTTAAATCCTTCAGTCTCTATGTCCCTGTACCATTCTAGGTTGCAATGTGGTCACTTTTAAGATGTACCAAGAGGTCCTCCAATGTAGAATTACCTGATCATTCCATGGAGAAAGGCATACTACAAACAATAATTTGATATCCTCCTTAGAATTCTTCAAAATTTGTCTCCAATCTGTGCTCAGCTTTGATAACTACTGCTTACTCTTTGAAACTATCTCTCATAAATTCTTCCTATTTTTATTATACAAATAAATTTACCACTGGGATAGTGCACTTCTAAATGTGAATACTTGGGCTCATAACTTCTGCCAGAAAAGAAAAAGGCCCGATGAAGCTACCTGGTCTCATTGTTTAGAAGAAAGAGGTATAGTAAATAAATGTGTAGATATATTTTTCTGTTTTACTGAGAAGGAGTAAGGGAGGAGAGATAACTGTCAGGCTCGGCAGATCAGAGGACTCTATCTCCACAATAATTGGGTCAAGGATGTACAACATCTCCAATTATCACAACATGTTCAATTAGAGTGATACCTGGAATTTTTCTGAAACTGTTAAGCAAGATATAGCCTGTCCTCATTTGCCAAACTGGGATAATAAAAGACAGTAGCTAAAGAGGGCCCTTGTTCCATGATATACAGAAAACCTAAGAATGAATTCAATAGCAATAGATAAAATACCTGGGAGAAGAAAAGAGAGAGAGGGAAGGGGAGAGAGAGAGAGAAAAAGAGAGAGACAGCGAAAAAGAGATTCACTGAATGAATTCTATATTCTTCCACGTTTGAAGCCATTTCTAAACTTTTCGATTATTGAGCTAATACATACCTACAATATGTTATTTAGCAATTCACATAATGGGTTGTGCACATGATTGATACCTATCTATTGTGAATAAAATTTTTAAAGTTTACAAGATAAACATGTACATCAGTAAAATCAAAAGGTAAATATCAATAACTACTAAATTTTAAAGAACAATATTTTAGAAAAATTTTTGTGTCAGGTAGGATCTTATTTCATTTTATTCTGCTAAAACAGAATGTCACATACTGTAATTTGTGTAGGACAGAAATTTATTTCTCAGAGTTCTTGAGGCTGGGAGGCCAAGACCAAGGCACTCGTGTCTGTTGTCTGGTGAGGGCTACTGTCTGCTTTCAAGACAGACAGCACCCCTTGAGTGCTGCAGCCTCCAGAGGGAAGAAACTCTTGCCTTCACAAGGCAGAAGAGCAGAAGAGAGAACCCATGCCTGCAAGCTATTTTTATAGTGGCATTACTTCATTCATGAAGGTGGACCCTTCAGGACCTAAACATTTCCTATTATACTCCACTTCTTAACACAATTGCACTGGGGGTTAAATTTCAACATGTGTTTTGGAGGAGGAAAGCGTTCAAACCATAGCAGGTAGTATTTAAAATGGGCTTGCATTTATACAGTCCTTTGTACTTAAAAAGATTTCCCATAGATTAGCTAATTTCACTTTTAAAAAGTTCTACAATAGTTATTATCATCACACTCCACAAAGAGTGAACTTGTGGATCACAGAAAGAAAATGATATTCTTAAGGTCACATAATTGGAACTTGAGCAAGAACTCAAATCAATGTTCTCATTTCCACGGTATGATTCAAAATATTCATTTTAGAGCTGAGAACTACAAACTCTACATTTAGCATAATCACATATAGTCAAGAAAGGTTACTTCCAACTTAAAAAGTAATTATACTGAAAAAGCTGTCCTGGCTTGAGTTCACTTGAAAGCACAACCTGAGCTAAGGACTTGGGTACAGGTATTTTATTTGGGAGGTGATCCTGGGGAGCTAGAGTAAGAGAATACAGAGAATGAGACAAGGTAATATAAAGACAGTTAAGAGGGAATATTTGAGCTTGTCATCAATGTGGGCAACTGGGACTGAATTCCTCTGAAGACTCTGGTAAGTCCTGTTGTATGTACACAAAACTTTCACCTGAAGGATTGGAGGCTGCGGCTTTTACCCACCAGCTCTAGATTCCTGCTGTCTGAAGTCACCACATGCCTCCCTTTCTTTAACACTCCCAGGACCCCTGTAGGCCCAACTGCATCTGGACTCGGAGAGATTGACTCTGCTGCCTAGAGAAAGACCTGAGACAGAGGGTGAGAAGAATTCAGATTATAACTGCAGCAGGACTCGGAGGCAGAAATATGAAGACCTGGCACAGGACACCAACAGTGTCTGCTACAGTCATTCCTGAAATAGTCTGATGTTAAAGTGAATGTGTTAAAGTGAATCTCATTACTTTTGAGATTGGACATGTACTTGGAAAATAGAGAGACAAAGAGTAATGGAAAATTTTATATCAGATCTCATAGAAAACAGATGACATACTTTTCTCCTTATCAATTAAAGTTCAGCACACATCTCTCCAAAACAATGTGTAGTTCCCAAGAGATTCAATTTCCAGGTTGAATGATAAATAGAATTATTCATAAGCAAAGAATGAAAATGAATGAAAAATTGTTATATATGGATATAAACATGTTTCATCTCTGTCTTTAATTAGAACTTCTAATATCACCACTATAAATGAATAATACTTCATGACTAAATTACCTTTAACATATACTTCAGGAGAGCAATATCTTTTGGATGGTAGACTAAAATAAATATAAGTGTGCTTCAAGAGAAATGCAAGGACTTCTTACATGTTTTATGGTGCTACACGTTAAAGGTAAGATAAATCATATAATGTTAAATTTGAAATATGTACAGAAATCAAGTTTGTATAGTTTCAAGTGAAATTAAAATTGTAGTAACTTGTCCTTCTGTTTAAAATATTCTATTTTTTATGGCCTTAAAAGTCTTTAAAGCACCAATAATATTTCCAAAATATTTATAACACATTTTAATATTTTATTTGCATTAAGGTCAGGACAAAACAACGAGTGATTTTTGTGGGGCAAGTCATTTATTAGTAGTTACACTTTTTCTAAAGCAGTATTAACTATACCAGTCATGTATTTCTTATTGAATTCAGTTGTTACTGATTTTAGGAATTAATACTACCTCCAACCAGAAAATTGCTTAAGCACACCTCCTAAAACAATCTAACTTGAAGTAACTTAAGAAAAGCAATTTTAAATACCAGAGGAAAACTATTAAGAAGAGAGTTAGTATTTAGAAATGTGACAAAATTTTTAATAAAAAGACTTGAAATAAGATTAATTTTATGAATCTTTCCTATTAAACCACAAATGCTTCACACAGAGATTACAGTGCTAGAAATAAGATGACTCAGCTAGTTCTCAATATAAAGTTATATCTGTACAGGTATATATGAATAATTATATATAATATAATTCATATATAATTTCAAAATGTAAATCAATTTTATTAAGCTACAATCTGCATTCAATAAAATGCAACCATTTTGAAAGCACAGTCTGACAAGTTTTGACAAATGTATCCCTGGGACCACTACCAGAGTTAAGACATAGAACATCTCATCACCTCAAAAAAGTTACCCTATATACTTAAGCAGTCAGCCCCCTACCACTACGAAAGTCCTGGATCCAGGAAACCACTGTTATGTCTTTTGTCAGTGTAGATTATTTTTGCAAATATCTGCAATTGCAAATACTAGGTTGGTGCAAAAGTAACTGTGGTTTTTTATTAAAAATAGTGACAAAGACTGCAATAACTTTTGCACCAACCTAGTAAATAAAATTATATGTATTGTAATCTTTCTTGCCTGGCCTCTTTTGCTCAGCATAATGTCTTTGAGATTTATCTATGTTGTTGTATTTATTTGTAGTTTGTTTCAGTTTATTTCAAGCAAGAATTCCATATTACAAATATAACCAGTGATGTGATAAGTGCTTTAAAACCAGCTTTCTGTTGGCGGGGGAAGTGAGGATCCTTGATGTGTAACTTGTCAGTTTATATGGTGTAACTCTTCCTACCAATGACAGATACAAACTACCAACATGATATAACCAGCTGGCAAAATTTTTGAAAATTTAACAATAGGCTCTGGAGGGTGATAATAAGCTAGCTCCAGAACATCATTACATGTAAATCAATTTATCTTTCAGTGGTTTATCAATGTTGTTTCCAGTTTTTGGCTATTGAAAAGAAAGTTGATATGATACCTTGGACCAACATGTGTTTCTTCCCTTAAGGTAATACCTTGGAGTGGAACTGCTAGTTCATATGGTAAGTCCATGTTCAACTTTATAAGAAAACATTAAGTTATTTTCCAAAGAAGTTTTACCAGTTTACAATTGGATCACACTCAGATTCAGCAAATCACAGGTAGCCTCTACAGCTATAACAGGAGCTCTTTATGGGAGAGGCATAGAGATGAAGTTTTTCATTGAAGGTAACTGAGAGACACGGAAGGTAATAACATGAGAGAGGAATGATTACATTTGGACATTTGAGCAATAAATGTGTTGACAATGTGGAAAATAGATGGGAGGGTATGAAATCACTGAAAGATCAATTAGGATGATATTTCACTAAAGAAATAATGAGGGTCTGAAGTAAGGCAGTAGCATTCTGATGAAACTGAAAAATATTTAGGTTATAAAATTGACTGTAGTTTTGACTAAGTAAGTGCAGATAACGAAGAACAATGAGAAATCAAAGATAACTAAAGATTTCTTGCTTGCAAAATGGGATAGTCAACGGTAGAAACTGAGACTATATGAAGACGGGTGGGCCTTTCTCTCTCCTTCTCTTCATTTTTGAACAGAAGGGAGGGGAAAAGTGACCAAGAGTTTAGTTTTGGATACATAAAGCTTGACTTCCTTGTGAATCACACCAGCTTCCCTTCTTTCTAACAATATGACCTTGAAAAAGTTCCTTTAATTCAGTTATTCATAAGTGAAGGAGAAAAAGAAAGTTGTTGTGAAGATCAAATTAGGATAATATAGTCAATAAATGTTACCTGGAATGTAATCTCCATGAGGTCAGGAATCACACCTTAATGGGTTACAATTACCTAAGTACTCGAATATTCATAGAATTAACAAACTCAGGTGGAAATATGCAGCTTGAGTAGATATGTGGGAAAGGTGCTTAGGATAAAGGTCTGAATTTGTTATATAGATTTGGACATCGTGATCCTACGATTTCCCTCTCACCCAGGCAAAGAAAGGAAGAAAGGTAAGAATAAGGCTCTAGCATCTCCTCTCTGGAGATGACATACACACATCATATGCATATGGGCATGGAGGAAGGGGTGTGGGGAGAGGTGAGTTTAGTGAGTATACAAGTTAGAAGTCAGGAGTGGATGGTATCAGAGGATTCTCAGAATGCAGAGAAGAAGAGAGAGTTTGTAATAGGACACATGTGGTAGGCCCTTAAAGAAGCCCTAAATACAGAGTAAAGATTAGACTGGGAATTATTTTCCTTCCTCATTGAAGAATGAGTCCATGTATGGAATCTCCCCTTGGAAGCTATCCCCCTGGAGCTTGTAGGGTACATAGGTGCCAAAAGTGATCGTTGGTTCCTTGCTCCAAGCTTTGTTTTCTTTTCTTTCTTGTTTTCTTCCTTTGCAGTCGTTGTTGTTGTTTTTTTCTTTTCTTTTTTTTTTTTTGAGACAGAGACCTGTTCTGTCTCCCAGGCTGCAGTGCAATGGCATGATCTCAGCTCACTGCAACCTCCGCCTCCTGGGTTTAGGCCATTCTTCTGCCTCAGCCCCCAGAGTAGCTGGGATTATAGGTGCCTGCCACCACAGCCGGCTAATTTTTTTTTTTTTTTGTATTTTTTAGTAAAGATGGAGTTTTGCCATGTTGGCCAGACTTGATATATCTCTTGATCTCTCTCCTATCTAGAAAGACTCTGGGAAAATTAAGTTCACTTCTAAACAGTTAGTATTTTTAATTCTTTTTAAAGTGCCCTGTTTCAAATCTGCCAAAATCTAGACAGGTCTCTCCCTGAAATCAATACTTTGATTCAACTAAACACAATGAACAAAACACTTCAGAGCAACAACAGGAAAAAATAAACTGATAATAGGGTATCATTTATTCCATGTGCAAACTCAGTCTACGTCCCAGTATTATCTATACAGCCTTCTGTTTTCTGCCTGAGGAAGGGAAATTTCAGTTTTGCCAGTTGGTCCTGTGCTCTGATCAACAGTTATTTGCTTGATGATAATAATCAGACAAAAGGCAAAAAGGGACCAAACCAAGGTGCAACAAGTGGGAAAGTGGTATTCTAAACCTATTCCATTTTTCTGAGGAAAAGTTTAGGCCTCCACCTACCTCTCAATCCATTGGCTTACATTTTTGCAAGTTCTCATTTTGCGTCATTTGTGACTATTTCTCTTTAATCTAATGGGGAAAACCCAGTGGGCAGGCCACCTGGATCTCTATACAAATAAATTGTAAATATTAAATTGCATGTGTTATTTATTCTCTCTCATAAAAAATCATGTAACTGTCGCATGGAAAAGTTTGCAGTTAACTTTGAAATATCTTACTTATATATCTTACTTGTTTATAATGTTAGTAACTTCTGTTTCCATATAAAAAGGAAAATAATTTTGTGAATAGTATCATGGAATTTCAACACTTTTGGAGAGAAAGTGAATATTCTGTCTCAGTATTTGAAGACCTCTCCTAAACATCTCTTTTCTTAAAAAAAAAAAATTGTTTAGAGACAAGGTCTTGCTCTGTCACCTGGTCTATAATGCAGTGATGTGATCATTGTTCACGGTAACCTTGAACTCCTGGGTTCAAGCGGATCTTCCTGGCTCAGCCTCCAGAATAACCAGGACTGCAGGTGCGTTCCACGATTCTGGGCCATATTTTACTTTTTTTCTTTCTTTTTTTTTTTTTTTTTTTTTTAAGAGATGGGGGGGTCTCATTATGTCACTCAAGGTGGTCTCTAACCCCTAGCCTCAAGTGATCCTCCTGCCTCAGCCTCCCAAAACATTGGGATTACACACATGAGGCACCATGCCCAGCCAAATGTCCCTTTTCTTCTTTGGCCTTTGGTCTTTCTCCAAATTGTCATTTTTGCAAGAAATGTAAACCTTGAATTTTTAAGTGATTCTGAATTCGGCCACTGGGATTGAGTTTGAAGATTTCTGTCCATCAGAACTCTGCTCCTTCTCATCCCAAATGCTCCTGCTATTTCCCCTGCTTTTCTTCTTTCCCTCACTTCCTTTTTAGACTCAGCACATGGTGGTTGTTGAAGTCCAATGAGCATATTAGTTAGCCACAGGAAAATGTGCAGAAGACAGCAGAGGAAAAACTGGTGTCATAGCATTTATGAAGAATAAGAGTTTACTAACGGAGATGAAGAAGAAAAAAATTTAACAGTGAGAGAAAAATAAAACTGGAAAGAATGTCAGTTAGTGAAAGAGATCATTAGAGAAGTGGTGAAAGTTAAGATTTGTGAGGTAGATGGTATCAGATCTTGGATGCCCATTACTGTCAGGCTGAGGTGTTTGGCATTAACTGTGTAGATCATAGATTCCAACTGAACTTTTTTGAGCAGGAAGTGAGTAGATGAAAAAGAAGAACAAAGCTTTGTTTTAGAGAAGTGGATCTGGAATATATTTATATCATGGATTCTATGCATGTAGCCTTTGTCATACAGCTGTAACTTATGTTTAAAAGTCTCAATTGGGTGTGTGTGTGTGTGTAAGTTAACTTTAATCTGTATTTTAATGGCTGTTGCTTAATTTGAATAACTTTAATTAGGAATACATACTTCAGAGATGATTGGTTAGTTTAGCCAGATTTAGCCAAATGCCATATTTCACTCAAATGTGTTCCATGATCTTTAGTTCTTGTGAGTTTAACTAATACAGGAGATGTTAGAAATGATTTTTCATTGGTGATGTTATTCAAAGTATCTTGATTTGGTTAGCATGTTGGACCTTTCAGAGTAACATCCTAGGCCCAAAACTCTTGAATCAGCCCTTCATTCAGACATGGAATAAATAATTATGTAACTATATTCGAACCAGATGAACAGCTGAGTTCTTCTACTAGAAGACTGTCATTTATGCCTTGAGACGCAAGATTCTCACTAGAATCCCCAAAATGATAACAAATTGGACTCTACTGAACTTGTAAGAAAAGGTGATATGACTGTTTTTGTCACTGTTTCCTAATAAATATTTGCATGTGTATTAGTATTCTGAAATTCATATTTATCTTATTTACTATCTGGTAGTGGCATTGTAAGAAACAAAAAACTTAATGGCTTTCACCTAACTAGTTATTGGAGGCTAATGGTATTTATTAAACAAATAAAAAACTAGTAATTGTGAATGTCAAAACTGGTTTGGGCCAGCATACAATAGACTGAAGATATAAAACAAATTTTCAAAACACATTAATAGTGTCTCTGTGAAGTAGATGGTCTGGACTAGGTTATATGCGAGAATATAAATATTTGACAAAGGTCGAACTCAAAGTCATATGAACTTTAGGCAAAATAACTTTTCTCTGAGATGTAATTAAACTTTTCTATTTAAAAAATGAATTTAATCCAAGAACATCAAACAAGAACATTATTATAAAATGTAAAACATACATGTTTTAAAGTACTATTTAGTAACTTTAATTAAACTAATAAAAATTAGAAAGGAAGTAGAACTTCAATAATAAAGAAACTAATTAAATAGGTAAAAATAATTAGCTGGGGATGGTGGGGAAAGGCAGAATTTTAGAGATTGCCAGTGGTTTATCTAGAGGCATATTTCAGACCCTCTGGAAGAGTATCCAAACATTGTGTGGGATGATGGAACTGTATTGTGTTATGAAAACACAGCTGCACATCCTATTCTGTGCAAAATGCTATGCTATGGTGACAGATTGTATGTAGGTGCAATGTGTACTCAGTTTGTTCGTATAAAGGACAATTTTATGTTTTGCTATTTCTAACAGATTTTAGTCCATTATGAAAATTACTCTATCATCCCAAGGAACACCAAGAAAATTTTGGGTTGAAATGTCTTCTTAAAAGAAAAAGAAAGCAAATACCACGTATCTACTCTATGGATATTCCTTACTTAATAAGGTTTATCTCCAAATTTTGATTGGCCTATGGTAAGCAGAATAAAAACAACTTATATGAAGTGACAGCAAAGATGTAAAAATCCTCCTCTTGCCCCTAAAGCATATCTAAATTACTTAACATTATCACTATGTTTTGCATGAAGAAATTGGCTAAAGCTATATTCCAGCATACAAATTTATGACTGTAGCATTGTAGATATAAATGAATCATGTTGAATTAAAATGCCTATATTAGGGTGATAAGTATAGCAAAAGATAATTAGCTCCTATTTACAAATAAATACAGATTTATTTTTTGCATTAGTGGTACTTTTTTCTTAGATAAGGTATGTCCTGAGTTCCAATAAAAGGGGAGTAAATTGAAGTATGTTTGAAACTTGAACAATTATCTGGGAATGCCAATGTAAGCTGGGCAGGATGGAGTCTGAGAACTACCAAAAGTAAACAGGCAGGAGCAAAAGATGAATAATTTAATAGTATCAAGTTCAAATTATTGCAGTATTAGAAAATACTGCAAAAATGTTTGCATACATTTTTCTTACCTTTCAATTATAGAAGAAAATTTAATAAAATATATTAATGGCAATCACTTAAAGTTCTTCTAATTATATTTTAAGGATTCCAATTCTGGTTAGTTGTTAAAACTTAATATAAAGTCACTTTTAGCCTTTGATTTGTATTTATGATTTACCATCCTACTGATAAGAATATAATAATTCAAGTCAAAAGTCCTAGTTATTTTTGCAAGTAGAATCTGGTGAGTCAGTTCTGGATTTTATTTTAGGATAAGCGGAACTGTTAGATCTATAATTCTTAAATAAAAATTGTGACAAGATAGTCATTCCCAACATAAGGACAAATTTTATTGGGATAATCTTTTTTTTCTAAGTACAGAGAATTAGCAGGGGATAAATTTTAAAACTAAAATTAATTTAATTTAAATAATTTAATTTAATGAATTAATTTAAATTAATATAATTTAAAATAAAATTAGTTTAATTTAAACATGCCAGAACACTGTAAATATGTGAATAATATAATAGTATAGTATTTATGTATTTGCAAACATAAGACACTACTCTTCCTGGCCAAGATTATGTAACAGGAATCAGATTTACTCTCTTGTCTAAAACAACTAATAATCCAGAAAAGAAAATACATGACTGATTGAATAACAAGCGAAAGAAACCCAACGATCCCTAAAGACAAAAAAAAATGAATTAAGTCCTATAATTGCTGAATGTGCTGCTTAGAGAAACTTTCTAGGCTGCACCAGATGGAGAAGTAACAAAGAAAATAGCCCAGCAGACTTTCTACATTGAGGAGAAAGAGCAGGGAGTTGGGAAAAAAAAGTGACATGGTTAGAATTTACAGGTAGAGAAACACAGAGAACACAGGTGCACAGAGAGAACTCCAAACATCTTTGAAGTACCTTCTTCAGGTATTCTGTGATCAGCACAGGCATGCAAGAAATCTACCTGAGATCAAAAAAAGGACTGCTCACAAACGTTAAGAGTGGCAATTTTCAACTGGGGACAGGTTTGTCTCTCAGGGTATATTTGGCAATATCTTGTGATATTTTTGCTTGTCCCAACTTAGGGTGAGGTTGCTACTAACATCAAGTAGATAGGGTCCAGGGATGTTGATAAACATCCTATAAATCCCAGGAGAGCCTCTGGCAAGAATGAACTGTCCAGTTTAAAATCACAATTATGCTGAGGTTGAGAAATTCTGCATTGGAAGGAACAGTGTGCAGGGCACACAGAGGGTTCCTCCCAAATTCTTGAGTGGAAAACCTCATAATTCACAGGGCATCAAGGAGAATAGCAAATAATAGGGAAAATTTACCCAAGACTAAATACTGTTTTAGTTTTATTTAACAAAGCATAAAGCCACCTCCATCCTAACACACACACACACACACACACACACACACACAACAGAAGCTATTTCCAAGTAACTTTACCACATTACAAAAGACATCTCAAGAATATTTTCAGAAATATGAAACAACCAGTACAAAACAAAGTAAAATGTGTATTGTCTGTAATCCAATAAAAATTATATCCAAGCTAATGTGGTAAGACAACAAAGGGAAATAAAAGGCATACAATTTGGAAAAGAATAAATAAAACTGCTTTTCCTCACAATGGCATCATTTTTAAAAATTGACAAAAAACTACTCAAAATAATAAGTGATTACGAGGTTGTAGAATACAAGATTAATATACTTGATTAATACAAAAGTCACTTGCTTTTCTGTATTTCAGCAATGAACAAGAGTAATTTGAAATTAAAAACACAATTTCTTTTACAGTAGCAACCCCCAAAATAAAATATTTATTGTATTAACCTAATAAAATACAAGATGTATACAAGGGAAGCTACAAAACTCTGTTGAAAGAAATCAAAGAACTAAACAAGTGGAGATGTTTTACATTCATAAATAGGAAGACATAATATTGTCAAGCTGTCAAGTTTTTCATACCTCATCCATAGATTCAATAAAATCCCAAACAAATTACCAGCATGTTATTTTATGTATATCAAGAAACTAATTGTAAAGTTTATAGAGAGAGGCCAAAAACACAGAATAGCCAATGTGGTATTGAAGAAAAAGAACAAAGTTGAAGAACAAATTTCAAGACTTACTATCAAACTACGGTAATCAAGACAGTGTGATATTAGTGAAAGAAGAGACAAATCGATCAATTGAACACAATAGAGAACCCAGATATAGACTCACATGTATATAGTCAATTAATTTTGACAAAGAAGCAAAAGCAATACAATGGAGAAAAGAGAGAATTTTCAACAAATCAAATGGTGCTGGAAGATCTATATACAAAAAAAAAAAAAAAAGAAAACAAACAAAAAACAACCTGAGCATATCTTGCACCCTTCACAAAAATTAACTAAAATTGGATCAGATAACTACATGTAAGATGCAAAACTATAAAATTTTTAGAAGATACCATAGAAGAAATTCTAGATGATCTTGGGTTTGGCAATTACTTTATTTATACAATGTCAATGGCATTATCTATGAAAGAAAGAACTGGTAAGGAGAACTTTATTAAAATTAAAAGACACTGTCAAGATAAAGAAAAGACAAGTCACAAACTAGGAGAAAAGATTTGCAAAGGACACATCTGATAAAGTACTATTATCCAAAATACACAAAGAACCTGTAAAATGCAACAAAAAGAGAACAGCAACCCAATTAAAGTGTAGGTAAAAGATCTGGACAGGTACCTCGCCAAAGAGATATACATACAGCAAATACATATATAAAAAAAAATGCTCCACATCATGTCATCAGGGCAGCGTGAATTAAAACAACAATAAAATACCACTGAACATGTATTAAAAGGGCCCAAACCCAGAACATTAACAACACCAAATTCTGGCAAGAATTAAAAGGGCCCAAACCCAGAACGCTAGCAATACCAAATTCTGGCAAGGATGTAGAGCAGCAGAAATTCTCATTTATTGCTGGCAATAATGCAAATTGGTGCAACCACTTTTGAAGACAGTTTATCAGCTTTTTACAAAACTAAATAGGCTCTTACCATATGATCCAAAAATCAAACTCTTAAGTATTTATTTTAAAAAGTTAAACATTTATATCTACACAAAAACCTGCACACAGATGGTTATAGCAGCTTCATTCATAATTGCCAAAGCTTGGAAGCAACCAACATGTCCTTCAGTAGGTGAATGGATAAATAAACTCTGGTACATCCAGCCAATGGAATGTTTTTTCCATGCTAAATAAAAGAACTATCAAGCTATTAAAAGACATGAAGGAACCTCAAATGCATATTACTAGGCAAAAGAAGCTAATCTGAAAAAGCTACACACTGTATGAGTACCTGTATATGACATTCTGAAAAAGACAGAACTATGGATACAGTAGAAAGGTCAGTGGTTCCTAGAGGTAGGGGAAGGGAGGGACAAATAGGCAGAGCATAGCGGGTTTTCAGTGTAGTGAAAATACTCTGTATGATATTATAATGGTAGATATATGTGATTGTAAATTTTTCCAAACCTGTAGAATTTACAACACCAAGAGTGGGCCTTACATAAGCTGCAGACTCTGAGTGATGATGTGTAAATATAGAGGAATCAATTGTAACAAATACATCACTCTGATGGAGGACGTTGATAATGAGGGAGGTTGTGCATGAGAGAGAACAGGAATTCTATAAGAAATCTCTGTACCTTCTGCTCAAATTTGCTGTGAAACTAAAACTACTCTAAAAAAACAAAATCTTTAAAAAATTACTCAGCATTTAAAAAAATAGAAAAATAAGACTCATGAAGAAGAAAAAAATCAATTCATGGGTTGATGGGTATAGCAAGCCATCATGGCACATGTATACCTGTGTAACAAACCTGCACGTTCTGCACATGTATTCCAGAACTTAAAGTATAATTAAAAAAAGAAAAAAATCAATTCATTAAAATTGGGCCAGAAATGACATAGATGACAGAATTGGCAGTCCAGGCTTTAAAATAATTATTGCAATTATATTTCATGTATTCAAGAAACTAGAGGAAACCTTGACATGAAAAACATGTCAACTAGAGAGATGAATGATCATTTTAGACAGGCCCAAATTGAATTTCTAGAGAATAAAATTACAATTTGATACAAAAATTACACTGGAAGCAATTAACAACAGTTGGACATTGTAGGAGAAAAAACTAGTGAACTTGAAGACTTAGTACTAGAAACTATCTAAGAAGGTACAATAGCTACAAAAAAGCAAAATACATAGAGATATACTTAGCCATGGAGGCAAAAGATCTCTATAAGGGGAACTACAAAACACTGAAGAAAGAAATTATAGATGGCACATATAGAAAAGCATTCCATGCTTATAGATTCAAAGAATCAATATCATTAAAATGGTCATGCTACCCAAAACAATCTACAGGCTCAACGCTATTCTTATCAAACTACCAACTCATTTTTCACAGAATTAGAAAAAAGTATTCTAAAATTCATATGGAACCTACCGGGAGTCCAAATAGCCAAAGCGATCCTAAGCAAAATGAACAAAGCTGGAGGCATCAAGCTACCTGACTTCAATTTCTAATTCGTTGTGTCTGGTATATAAAAATACAATTGATTTTTTATGTGTTGATTTTGTACCTACGACCTTTCTAAATTCTCTAATTGCTTATTTTGTCTATCCCATCAGATTTTCTACATTGACTGTGATGGTGACTGCAAATAAAGACAGTTACTTCTTTTTATCAAATAAAGATGACAACCATTTCTTTAACTTTCTCTATTGCATTTTGTAGAACCTCCAGTAAAATACTGAACAAAGGTGGAGAGAGTGGAAATATTAGTCTATTTTTTTTATTTTAGGGAGAAATCATTCAAACTTTCACTAATAAACATGATGTTAGCTATATATTTAACTGTCCTATACCGGATGAAGACAATTCTAACTTATTTCTAGTTTGCTGAAAGTATCCTGTAAGTCTACAGTAACCAAAACAGCATAGTACTGATACAAAAATAGATACAAAGACCAATGGAACAAAATAGAGAATCCAGAAATGAAGCTGCACATCTACAGCCATCTGACCTTCGACAAAGATGATAAAAATAAGCAATGAAGAAAGAACTCCCTATTCAAAAAATGGTGCGGCAGAGCTGGCTAGCCGTGCACAGAAGAATGAAACTGGACCCCTACTTTCACCACATACAAAAATTAACTCAAGATAGACTAAAGTTTTAATTGTAAGAACTCAAACTATAAAAATCATAGAATAGGTCCTTCACATCCCTTGTAAGTTGGATTCCTAGGTATTTCATTCTCTTTGAAGCGATTGTGAATGGGAGTTCACTCATGATTTGGCTCTCTGTTTGTCTGTTATTGGTGTCTAAGAATGCTTATGATTTGCACATTGATTTTGTATCCTGAGACTTTGTTGAAGTTGCTTATCAGCTTAAGGAGATTTTGGGCTGAGATGATGGAGTTTTCTAAATATACAATCATGTCATCTGCAAACAAGGACAATTTGACTTCCTCTTTTCCTAATTGAATACCCTTTATTTCTTTCTCTTGCCTGATTGCCCTGGCCAGAACTCCCAACACTATGTTGAATAGCAGTGGTGAGAGAGGGCATCCCTGTCTTGTGCCAGTTTTCAAAGGGAATGCTTCCAGGTTTTGCCCATTCAGTATGATATTGGCTGTGGGTTCGTCATAAATAGCTCTTATTATTTTGAGATACGTCCCATCAATACCCAATTTATTGAGAGTTTTTAGCATGAAGGGCTGTTGAATTTTGTCAAAGGCCTTTTCTGCATCTATTGAGATAATCATGTGGTTTTTGTCTTTGGTTCTGTTTATATGCTGGATTACATTTATTGATTTGCGTACCACTGCTCAACAAAATAAAAGAGGACACAAACAAATGGAAGAACATTCCGTGCTCATGGATAGGAAGAATCAATATCATGAAAATGGCCATACTGCACAAAGTAATTTATAGATTCAACGCCATCCCCATCAAGCTACCAATGACTTTCTTCACAGAATTGGAAAAAACTACTTTCAAGTTCACATGGAACCAAAAAAGAGCCCACATTGCCAAGTCAATCCTAAGCCAAAAGAACAAAGCTGGAGACATCACGCTACCTGACTTCAAACTGTACTACAAGGTTACAGTAACCAAAACAGCATGGTACTGGTACCAAAACAGAGATATAGATCAATGGAACAGAACACAGGCCTCAGAAATAATACCACACATCTACAACCATCTGATCTTTGACAAACCTGACAAAAACAAGAAATGGGGAAAGGATTCCCTATTTAATAAATGGTGCTGGGAAAACTGGCTAGCCATACGTAGAAAGCTGGAACTGGATCCCTTCCTTACACCTTATACAAAAATTAATTCAAAATGGATTAAAGACTTCAACGTTAGACCTAAAACCATAAAAACCCTAGAAGAAAACCTAGGCAATACCATTCAGGACATAGGCATGGGCAAGGACTTCATGTCTAAAACACCAAAAGCAATGGCAACAAAAGCCAAAATTGACAAATGGGATCTAATTAAACTAAAGAGCTTCTGCACAGCAAAGGAAACTACCATCAGAGCGAATAGGCAACCTACAGAATGGGAGAAAATTTTTGCAATCTACCCATCTGACAAAGGGTTAATATCCAGAAACTATAAAGAACTTAAACAAATTTAGAAGAAAAAAACAAACAACACCATCAAAAAGTGGGCAAAGGATATGAACAGACACTTCTCAAAAGAAGACATTTATGCAGCCAACAGACACATGAAAAAATGCTCACCATCACTGGCCATCAGAGAAATGCAAATCAAAACCACAATGAGATACCATCTCACACCAGTTAGAATGGTGATCATTAAAAAGTCAGGAAACAACAGGTGCTGGAAAGGATGTGGAGAAATAGGAACACTTTTACACTGCTGGTGGGACTGTAAACTAGTTCAATCATTGTGGAAGACAGTGGGGCGATTCCTCAGGGATCCAGAACTAGAAATACCATTTGACCCAGCCATCCCATTACTGGGTATATACCCAAAGGATTATAAATCATGCTGCTATAAAGACACATGCACACGTATGTTTATTGTGGCACTATTCACAATAACAAAGACTTGGAACCAACCCAAATGTCCATCAATGATAGACTGGATTAAGAAAATGTGGCAGTTGTGGCGGTTGCTGGTCAGTAACAGCCAAGATGCTGTGGAATCTGCTGGCTCTTCATCAGATTGGGCAGAGGACCATAAGCACTGCTTCCCACAGGCATTTTAAAAATAAAGTTCCAGAGAAACAAAAACTGTTCCAGGAGGATGATGGAATTCCACTGTATCTAAAGGGTGGGATAGCTGATGCCCTCCTTCATAGAGCCACCATGATTCTTACAGTTGGTGGAACAGCATATGCCATATATCAGCTGGCTGTGGCTTCATTTCCCAATAAAGGAGTGACTTCAATCATCCCAGCAATCACTTGGTTCACATTCATTCAGCTCTCTATGGACCAGAAATCTGATAAATGAGTTCTTCTTTGGGGATCAATATTTATTGACTTGTAGTAACTGCCGCCAATAAAGCAGTCTTTACCATGAAAAAAAAAAAAAGAAAATGTGGCACATATACACCATGGAATACTATGCAGCCATAAAAAGGAAGCATTCATGTCGTTTGTAGGGTCATGGATGAAGCTGGAAACCATCATTCTCAGCAAACTATCGCAAGGACAAACAACCAAACACCGCGTGTTCTCACTCATAGGTGGGAATTGAACAATGAGAACACTTGGACACAGGAAGGGGAACATCACACACTGGGGCCTGTGGTGGGATTGGGGGATGGGGGAGGGATAGCATTAGAAGATATACCTAATGTAAATGACCAGTTAATGGGTGCAGCACACCAACATGACACATATATACATATGTAACAAACCTGCACGTTGTGCACATGTACTCTAGAACTTAAAGTACAATAATTAAAAAAAACAATAAAGCAGGCTAAAAAGGGAAAAAAAATCATAGAATAAAACCTAGAAAACACCACTCTGGACATAGGCCTTGGGAAATAATTCATGACTAAGTCTTCAAAAGCAATTCATCAAAATCTAACATTGACAAGTGGGAACTAAATAAACTAAAGAGCATCTGCACAACAAAAGAAACTGTCAACAGAGTAAACAAATAACCTACAGAATGGGAGATAATATTCACAAACTATGCATCTAAAAATTATAATATCCAGAATCTATAAGGAACGTTAACAATTCAATAAGCAAAAGAAAAAATAACCCCATTAAAAAGTGGGCAAAGGACATGAACAATTTTCAAAGGAATACATGCAAGCAGCAAACAAACATATTTTTAAAATGCTCAACATCACTAATTATAAGAGACATGCAAAACAAAACCACTATAGGAGAGCATCTTACACCAGTCAGAATGGGTGTTACAAAAAAGTCAAAAAATTACAGATGCTGGTGAGGTTGCAGAGAAAAAGGAATACTAATACACCATTGTCAAGAATATAGATTAGGTTAGCCACAGTGGAAAGCATTTTGGATGTGTCTCGAGGAACTTAAAACATACCTACCATTTGACCCAGCAATCCCATTACTGGGTATATACCCAATAGAAAATAAATCATCCTATCAAAAAGACACATGCACTTGCGTGTTCATCACAGTACTATTCACAGTCACAAAGACATGCAATCATTGTAGGTGTCCATCAAGAGCTGGCTGGATAAAGAAAATGTGGTACATATACATCACAGAATCCTATGCAGACATAAAAAGGAATGAAATCACATTCTTTGCAGCAACATGGATGCAGCTAGAGGCCATTATCCTAAGTGAATTAACAGGAGAACAGAAAACCAATACTGTATGTTCTCACTTATAAATGGGAGCAAAACACTGGGTACTCACGAACATAAAGATGGAAACAATAGACACTGGGAGCTACTAAACATGGAGAGGGAGGGAGGAAGGCAACGGTTGAGAAATGAACTGCTCACTATCTGAGTGATGGAAGAATCTGTATCTCAAAGTTCAGCAGCATACATTACACCTATATGAGAAACCTGCACATATACCCCTGAACCTAAAATAAACGTGAAAATTATAAAAAGGAATTTGAAATGAAATAAAATAATAGCATCTACAGTAGCATGAGAAAATATAAAATGCTTTGCGAAAAATCTAACAACAGTTATGTAAGACCTGTGGACTGAAAACTACAAGACATTTACTGGCGGAAATAAGAAAACCTAAATAAATCAAGAGATACAGATATTCATGTGACTAAGAAGGAGTAATTATTCTTCAGAGTAGGTAGAAAAATTAATTATTAGTTAATTATTAATTCATAAGAATTAATATTCTTAAAATGATCATTCTTCCCAGTTTAATCTGTAGTTTCAAAATAATCTCAATCAAAATCTCATCAGAGATTTTGTATAAATTGGCAAGCTCATTTTAAAATACATATGGAAATGCAAAATTCTTAAAACAGCTAACAATAAACACAGTTTGAAAAAAAAGAACAAAGTTGGAGAACTACACGACATCTAAAATTATTATAAAGTTACAGCAATCCAGACAGTATGGTACTGGTATAAAGATATAGATCAGTGGAAAAGAATAGAGTCCGCAAAAAAGAAAAGTCCCAAATGTATATGGACAACTGATTGTTGACAAAGGTGCAAAAGATACTCAGTAGATAAATGATTTCTGCAACAAATGGTGCTGAAAATTGGATAGTTGTGTAAAAAACAACTTCAATCTATATCTGGCACTAAGAATTGCTCATACACAATGTAAAATCTAAAACTACAAAATGTGCAGAAGTAAATACAGGAAAAAAACTGTGATTTTTTATTAGAAGATGTCTTAAATACAACAAAAGCATGATTCATAAAAAAAAAATTGGTATTTTGGGCTTCATAATTTTAAGAACTTCTGCTCTGTTAAAGACATTGTTAAGTGAATAAAAATTAAGCTACAAGCTGGGAGAAAAATATTTGCAAAACATGTATCCGGTTAGTGACTTGTGCCCAGAATATGTTAAAAAAAAAACTCTCATAACCAAATAATAAGAAAATAGACAACTCAATTAAAAATGAGCAAAATATTTGAATAGACAGTCCATGAAAGAAGATATATGGATGGCAAGTAAGCATATGAATAAAATGTTCAACATTACATTAGTAATCACTAGGAAAAGGAATATTAAAGCCACAAGAAGATACCATTACAAACCTATTATAACGCCTATAATCCAAAAGTAATGGTGAGGAATGTAGAGAAAATGGAACTCATTGCTAGTGGAAACATAATCACTTTGGAAAAGAGTTTTTGGCATTTCCAGCCAGGTGCAGTGGCTCAAGCCTGTAATCCTAGTACTGTGGGAGGCTGAGGCAGGTATATCATTTGAGGTCAGGAGTTCGAGACCAGCCTGGCCAACATGGCAAAACCCCATCTCTACTAAACAAAATTAAAAATAAAAATAAAAATAAAAATAAAAATAAAAATAAAAATTTAGCCACATGTGGTGGTGCACACCTGTAGTCCCAGCTACTCAGGAGGCTGAGGTTGCAGTGAGCTGAGATCTTGCCACTGTATTCCAGACTGAGTGAAAGAGCGAGACTGTATCAAAAAAAAAAAAAGAGTTTGACATTTATGTAAAATGATAAACACATGCCTATCATATGGCCCATCCTTTCCATTCATAACTGTTTTCCAAATAAATGAAAGTATATTTCCATAAAGATGTGTACACAAATGTGTGCAACTGTATTTACAACACCCCAAAGATGAAAACAACCCAAATGTCTATTAACAGGCGAATGAATAAATAAATTGTATACGCAAACAGTGGAAAATATCCAGCAATCTAAAGGAATGAACCATTAATATACACAATAATAGGAATGAGTCCCAGAAATAATTATGCTGAAAGAAATCAGACAAAACAGTATCCACTGTAATTTTAACCTAAAATTCCAGAAAATACAGACTCTTCATCTATATAAAAAGAAAGCGGATCCAGGATTGGCAGGCGTGAGAGATGGATGGGTAGGGCTGAGACAGAGGATCATAGAGCAGTGTGGGGACATTTGGGGATGATGAATACGCACATCATTTTGATTGTGGTGATGGTTTTACACATATATCTATATCTTTATCTTAACATATTTTACAGTTTAAACATTTGCAATTGATCGTATGTCAATTATACCTTAAGAAAGCTATTGTAAGAAACATTTTCCTAGCTTCTGTGAGATGCTACACAGACCTGTAAGCCCTCTTATGAACGTGTCCTGCTGCATAGCTCATGTTCCCTTTAAACTCATCATAGAAAGGATGTATTAAAACTAAAATTATGTGGCACAAAGTCAAAGGATGTAGTTAAAGATGATAATTTTATGGTCTTGAGGGGAACTACTATAAATGCAGACACTAAACAACAGAACGATAGTTCCTAGAATATGACTAAGTTTAAAATCACAGGAAATAAAAGGCAGAAATATCATTAAATCTGACTACAAACTGATCTGCAAATTGAAAAGCAGAATCAGGAAATGGTAAATGTCTTAATGTGTTGCTTTTCTCTGCCTTTTGAATGAAGATAGCCAAATTACAAATTTTTTGAAAAGGCTGTAATTTCAACTATGGGGGAAACCTAAACATAGTCATTTATAAGTAACTGAGAAAGTGGTTAGAAAGAGATTGAATACTTGAACATATTCAGAGTTTTCTATAAACAGCAAATCCACAGATTATAAAGAGGGCTCCAAGCATAATGTGAGCTTGCCCTTGTAAATTTCCAAGTAGTGAAGGAAATTTCCTGGACCATTAATCTATTTTTGTGCAATGAAACTGTGTTTATTCCTATGGAAACTAATGGAAGACACCCCGGAATTGCTACAGATAAAATATCTGGATGAATTTATAAAGCACTTGCCAGTGCTTGAAGCCAGAGTCTGGAGGACAGGAGTCTCCTTCACAGTTTTGTTTTTTGTCTTGTATCCAATGCCAAACATAGGCATACTGGTGCTACTCAACAAATCTTGGCTAACTTATGTTTTGTTTTATTTATTTATTTATTTATTTATTTATTTATTTAGAAATCATTGCAGAACCTAGTTTTTAGCACACTGAGATTTTATATCAGGAAATTTAAATTTAATTTTTAAAAAACTTGTCGGGCAGTATATTTCTGCTCCTCCATCGGTGAAATTAATAAAGTGAGTACAGCACAAAGACAACACAACAGAAACCAAACACAAGAGAAACCAAACACAAGAGAAACCAAACACAAGAGAGTCATCACCAAGACAACCAGAATCGAGGGGCTTATTGGGACAGATACTAACAAGCTATGGAGTCAAAGCATGACAGAAAAGCAATAGAATTATAGAGAAGGCAAATAACCTCCAAATTAGTAAATCAATCCGATGCAAAGATTCGCAAGCCCTTCATAATTCCAAGGTATTGCACTACTTAGAAAAGCGATAATGCAGAGCAAAGAATAGATGCAATAGTCAAAAACTAATAAGAGAAGAAACTATATCAGTAATAGTGGTGAAATTGCTAAAGGGCAATGAGTAGCAAAGAAAAGTATGGAGAAAAGAAATCTGAAGAAAGGTTGTCAAAAAGACGAGAGGACAAAACATTCTAATATGAAGCATTTGGGAAGCTTAGTTGAGGAGTGAAGGATGCTTAATCTGGGCAGCCACATTTCAGGAAAATTGATTAAAAGGCCACACTGCACATTCGTAGAAGGTTAGAATAGACTCGGACTTTAAATAAATTGTATTTTTACCCTGGAACCATATGTAAAAATGAATTGCCTAGAAACATAAACATGTAAGTAGTCAGAAGTTAAAACACTAGAATCCTCCTAATTTCTTCCTTACCCCATGCCCAAAGCAGCTTGTAAAATTAATTACACCCTGCATGAGTTTCTTAGGGCCATCATAACAAACTACCATGAACTGAGGAGCTTCAAACAACAGAAATTTATTCTCTCACAGCTCTGGAGGCCTGAAGTCTGAGATTAAGAGTGCAAGGCTGCTCTCCCCTTAGATGCTCTGGCCGGGAATCTGTTTCTTTTCTCATCCAGCTTCTGGTGGCTACAGGCATTCCTTGGTTTACTGCTGTATCGCTGCAACCTGTGCCTGTGTGCTTAGATTTCCTTCTCTTCCTCTGTGTTTTCTCCTCTGTGTCTTTTATAAAGACACATGTGATTGCATTTAGGGCCCCCTCAGATTATCTGGCAAAAGTACCTCCTCTTAAATTCCTTAATCATATTTTTGCCATATTAGTTAATATCCTTTTGCTGTGTTTTGCAATATTTAGAAGTTCTGGGAATTGGGACATATCTTTTGGGGGAACCATTATTCAACCCACATCATATCAGCTCTCTGAAAGAAATGTGTACATATATATATATGTGAATGTATATGTGTGTCCATTTATATATACGAATGTTGCTAGTGTAATGGAAGTAAAGTTACAATTTACAAATAAAAATGAAATACAGTAGTTTCCCCCCTAACCATGGTTTTGCTTTTTGTTATTTCAGTTACCTGCAGTCAACTTTGGTCCAAAAATATGAAATGATAAATTCCAGAAATAATTCATAGTTGTTTTTTTTTATTTTTTTTATTTTTTTTATTTTTTTTGAGGCGGAGTCTCTCTCTGTCACCCAGGCTGGAGTGCAGTGACGCGATTTCGGCTCACTTCCAGCTCTGCCTCCCGGGTTCACGCCATTCTCCTGCCTCAGCCTCCTGAGTAGCTGGGACTACAGGTGCCCGCCATGACGCCTGGCTAATTTTTTTTGTATTTTTAGTAGAGACGGGGTTTCACCATATTAGCCAGGATGGTCTCGATCTCCTGACCTCGTGATCCGCCCGCCTCAGCCTCCCAAAGTGCTGGGATTACAGGCATAAGCCACCGCGCCCGGCCAATAATTCATAGTTTTAAACTGTGTGTCACTCTAAGAAGTGTGATGAAACTTCGTGCAGTCATGCTCTGTTCTGCCCAGGATGTGAATAATCCCTTTGTCCAGGGTATTTATGCTGTATATACTACCCTATTAGTTACTTAGTAGCTCTATTGGTTATCAGATCATAAAAACATAGTACATATAGGGTTAGGTATAGGCATCCACTGGGGACCTTGGAACGTATCCCATAAAAATGAGAGCAGATTATTGTATATAACACTTTTTATTGTAAATTCTCTATCAATTGATTCTTATGGTATGCTTTCAATTTTTGCTTAACCCCTGTATCCATAGTAAAACTATGGTTTCAATTGGCAAACATGTATTTCTGACAGGAATGTTGATTGACAGTTTAGTTTCTATTAATGAGTAAAATGAAGAATAAATAATGAAGACAAATGTTGGAATTGCTCTCATTCACCATTGCAGTAAGCAAATTTTTGCTGCATTGAATAATAGTTTTTGAATACTAAAAAGACCTTTCTTCAGTTTTGGGGGCTAGTCACAAGGTAGCAGCTACAGATAGAAAAGAATGAAATTTAGTCTACATCGTTAACATTTTCTCTATCACCCAGACAATAAACACAACAATAAGTCAAGTACTGATTTGTAGCATTTGCTGATTTCTTTGGTGTAAATATTCCCACCATGGCTGAATTCAAGCTACCGACATAAAACTGCTAAATGCAGTGTTGGAAAGAGATGTTCAGTAACACATAATTATACAGTATTTCCACCATAAGGACAGTATAAAGTGACTAACCCAAGAGCATAAATAAAAGTAAAATATAATAAAATATTAGGAAGGGGTAAACATTGACATTTATTTTCTTTGTTGTCAATAGAGTTTTTACATTTCAAGTTTACATAATTTAATTTTTAGAAATGGCTATGTTTAACAAATGGCTTGCAAAGTTTCTGAGAATTTAAGTTGGCTTTAACAAGTAACGAAGAGCTAGTTCCAACAAGCTGCTACATGATACGATGATGAAGAATTAGAAGAAACATTTTTTAAGCCTTCACATCAGTTACACAAAATTAATGATAGGTGAGCACTCCTAGTCAGAACAAATGCATTTTAAAGTCTCCAGTCTTTTCCGGAACTATTGCTAGAACTCCTAATCAGATCTGGCTCCAAAGAAAAACACCAAGTTTTATGTTAAAGGTCTCAATAATTCAGTTATAATGAGCAGAACAGGAAGCCAAATTTCCTGCTCTACATTTCAAAAAGTTTCAGCTGTTCCTACTGATGGGTCTCCAGGTAGATTTCATTTAAGAATGAGCTTACTGATGAGTTCTAATTATGCCTAATTTCATATTCACCAACTAATTCACACTTTGCTGTGTGACATTAGGCCAGTCACTTCCTTTTTCCGGCAATTTCTTAATCTGCAAAATGTGGATGTCTTACCTCACAAGGGTACAGTAAGCTAAAACAAATTAAAAACATTACATATCTAAAATGCAACTACACCATTAAAAACAGTAATTAAGAAAATTAGTGAGAAACTATGACAACTCCTTTGGAATGATGCCATTAATTTTTAAATAAGGAAAAGAGAAAATATAAAGGAGGAGGCTCATCATGATCTTTTATAATCTCTCTTTTGGGAGAAAGGAATCAGGCAACAGCTACTTTCTCTCAGAGAAAAAGAGAGAGAAGCATGTGACCCCAGTCTGTTTCTATTATGCTAGCATCTGCAATCATTAGGTTCAAGTGGCATTTTTAAAAATTATTCTCTGCAAAAGAGTCTCAAGGAAACAATAATTATCATTTAATGGGATTCATGGTGGCACAATAAATATCACTGCTCTTCTCCACCTGAGTTCTAACCCAATTGAGAAAGGCAGATGGGCACCAAAATATCATCTTTATTACTGATAGCAGAGGATGTGGCTTTTATCAGCAGGTAAGTGGGCTTTCTGATAATGGACATCACAATAAAATTGCCTTACCTATGATGTCAAAGGCAAAAGGGGACCACTGCACACTTGTATCGTGGAATGAGGCCCTTATAATTTACAGCCTGGGGGATTGAGATAGGAGACTTCTCAATTCCAGAAGAAGGCTGCCCAAGAGACAGAGATTAAGGGGCCAGCTCCCTTTTACCCATTTTTTCTTTTAAACTCTCCCATCACATAAGTCCCTCTTCTTCACTGGGGCATAAAAGGGTGATGAGGCAGAGAATGTCCCAGAATGTCATGATAATAGATCCCTCTTTACATGGAAGGAAATTTCAGGAGTTTCTTCCCAACCTTACCCCATCATCATTCAAAATGTTTGGTGTAAGAAAAGAGAGAGAGAGGTAGAAGTTTTTCATAGGTGCATTATTGCCAGCAAAGAATATGGGATCAAGGAAAGGGACACTGCTCTTCAGTTCACCCCTAAGCAGCCAGGCTCAGTACTAGGTGCTCAGACAAGCTGAACAGTATAAGTTCTCACAGCCAACCGTGTTGTATTCCTAGACCATTTGCTCTTCGAAAGCAGAGATTATAGCTTAATAACTACTTAAAAAGGTACAGTTTAATGATAGCCTTGCACATTCTAAACAATAGTAAATATTTACAGAAGAAAGGAAATAAATACAGAAGAGAAGAAGAAAGAAAGAAAAAGAAAGAGGATGGAAGGAAGGAAGGAAGGAAGGAAGGAAGGAAGGAAGGAGCGAGCCAGGCGTGGTGGCTCATGCCTGTAATCCCAGGACTTTGGGGGTCGAGGAGGGTGGATCACGAGGTCAGGAGTTCAAGACCAGCCTGGCCAACATGGTGGAACCCCGTCTCTACCAAAAATACAAAAAAATTAGCCAGGCTTGGTGGCAGGCACCTGTAGTCCCAGCTACTCGGGAGGCCGAAGCAGGAGAATGGCATGAACCCAAGAGGCAGAGCTTGCAGTGAGCCGAGATCGCGCCACTGCACTCCAGCCTGGGTGACAGAACGAGACTCCATCTCAAAAAAAAAAAAAAAAAAAAAAAAAAAAAAATTAGCTGGGCGTGGTAACACGTGCCTGTAGTCCCAGCTACTCGGGAGGCTGAAGCAAGAGAATTGCTTGAGCCTGGGAGACAGAGGTTGCAGTGAGCCGATAGCACGCCGCTGCACTCCAGCCGGGTGATAGAGTGAGACTCTGTCTTGGAAAATTAAAAAAAGAAAGAAATGAATTAATTGGGAGATAAAATCAAACCTAAATCTGTCTAACCTCAAAAACATAGGTCCTTTTACCACTTACATCGCCTCCATGTTAGTGTTGTAACTGGGCTTTATGTCTACTGGAATGTTGCTACACAGCTAGGAAGAATGTATGCTTGAATGCTCACATCCTTATTAAGAGCGTTAAGTCTCTTTAAGGGCAATGTGCTCAGTGTTCCCCCTAGCTCAGATATTGTAGTGGCTACTTGCTGAGATGATACGTAATCTCTTAGGTCTTCAAGCCAGACTGGGGAAAGCAAAATAAATGGCATCTAATACATAATGGTGCTTATAATCATACTTAAGATCAGCATGTTCTTCCATAAATAACAGTGTTACTAAAAGCTTATATTAGCATATTTTAGGCATTCCCTCTAAACACAATTGCAAGGTTAGGGTTGTCATTCTTTTGCTCTTAAAGTTTATTCTTGTAACACTGACAAACATTGATAGATGAGATTAATCCTTTAACTCATACATTCAAAAGATGATTTTTCATTATGTTCATGGCTGTATAAGCATACAATAAGTATTAAGAAATCACAGGCAATACATTGGTTAAAAAATTCAGGAAAGAATTGAAAGTGATCATGGGGTTCAAGTGGGTTTTTTGCTGTTCACATTTTTCTGGGATTTAGGGTTTCTATTTAAAAAGAAAAACTAAGCTCTCAGTGTGTACACTGAGCTATTTAAAAACTAAGGTGAAATTTCAAAGTGCTTTAATTACAGGAACAAATACTGAGTCATCTTTTAAACTTCTATATTCAGTAAATGTGAATCTCTCTTTTTCTGAAGATTTCCATTTAAAGATGCTACTGGCCTGTATTTTAGAGCCACCTACTGTACTGAGGGCTAAGGCAGAGGATGGCTGTCCTCTGGGTCTCACTTACTGCATTTTATTCATAAGGATGACAGCAACTGGCCACATAAAAACAGGCCTGGATCAAGTGACTGCTTCATATCTTTTTTGGACTTAAATATCATGATCTATGATTATGTAAAAAACTTGCAATTTCAGGCAACTGGTGTCCAATGTAGTTAAGTTGCAAAATTGCTGTTATCATCCAGCAGCTCTTGTGCACCCACCGCAGCTCCTGGCACTGAGTTATCTTCCTCTGACTCAGAAGTGTCAGCTGCATCAGTGCCTGCAGCAGTGATGGGAAGGATTATACCTCAATTAAGCCTGATTCCCCGACTCCAGTCAAGCCAGTCTCCTTCAGTGCCAGGAACACTCCACAATCAGGATTTCATTCCAATTTGCTTTTACAACACTTATTCAAATCCAATATTCAAATCCAAATTCAGTCTTTATATCCCCTTCCTCAGTATGAGTTTTCTATTACTGGCTTTACTAATTATCACAAATATAGTAGTTCCAAACACCACAAATCTATTATGTTACTGTTCCTAAGGTAAGAAATCCTACATGGGTCTCTGGGTGAAAGTCAAGGCATCAGCAGGGCTGTGTTCCTGTATGGAAGCTCTAGAGGAGAATCAATTTCCCTGCCTAGTGGCTGTCCACACTCCTTGGCTTGGCCCCTTTCTTACCATCTTTAAAGCCAGCCTCACCAAATCTCTACTCTTTCTTTCATAGTCACCCCTCCCTCTAACCACATCTGGGAAATGTTCTCTATTTTTAGGGACCCAGATGATTAGATTAAGCCCTCCAAAATAATGGAGGATGATCTTCCCATCTCAAGGTCCATCCCAGTAATCACATCTTCAAAGCCCCCTACGCCATGTAAGGTGGCATATTCACAGGTGTCAGGGCTTGGAAGAGACTTATTATAGAGTGTGTGGGGGTGAAGCATTATTCTGCTTGCCACCTCCTTTGTGAAACTTCCCATAGTCAGTCCAACTTTCACTTATTAAACTGTGTCTTGCAGTATTGGAATCCATGTGTCCAATAATTTAGCAATTCATTATTTCAGACTTTTAAATACTTGATTGCTTCAAATGTGTTTTGGTAATGATAAACTTTCTGAATGCAGAGTTCCTGCTTAAGGTGACCTGTGTCTTCTTGCTTTATCTCTATCATGTTTACAGTGCTGAGCATTCAACAGTTAGCAGATTTCTTAGATATTTCTTTGAAAGTGAAAAACATTTTGTAGTTTATAAGGCACTTTAAGTTATATATTTTTTAAAACCCTAATTGAATACCAAAAAATGAACACAAGGAAGATGAAGTAAGCACCTTAGGTAACCCCACAATAAATCAGCGCACTTTAATCACCTCAAGTTAAAAGCCTCATAAGTAATAATCTTTCAGTCCTCATTAGATAACAGACAAGGAAATGTATTTAGGTATATAATTCCCATGATTTACCAGTATGAAGATCTACCATTTTCATAAACCAGTATTATATGCCATTATAATAAAATTTTTTAATGAGAGAATATGAAAAATATTTAAATATCAAGGGGTACTATGGTTTTGCATTATGATATTTGCTCCTTTACATCCTTATTGTGTGTATTGCTGAGATTTAACAACAAGTGGTTAGGTCAAGGTAGTTTTTAGCAGTGGAATCTTGCTAAATTCTCCCCATTCCTGGCCAATGTTGTAAGGCTACCCAGGAAACTTTCCATCAGCCGCAACTGAGGATACTTTGGTCCTGTCCAACTTTGTCACTAAAATCTGACTGATATTAAGAATTTTCTGGATCAATGTTTAAATAGAATTGAGGGTAATCAATAATTCTCAAGAGCAGTTTATTGCTGAGATAAAACTTGTAAACAAGTAAACAAAGCAAATATTGCTTCTAAGTGCCCACAGTGAAAAAGATGATATAATCAATGTTTTAAGTGATCTGGTAAATGAAGGTTGTTATGATGATCTCAGTTGACTTGAGGACAAAAAAAAATCTCATTCAATTAAAAAATGATAAAGTTGTCTTTACACATACACAGCCCGAATTTAAAATGTTACATTATGCTGAATCAATTAATATTCACATTTAATTTAGGAAATGGCTTACATAATAAAATAGAATGAAATTCTGTCATTTGCAGCAACATGGTTAGAACTGGAGATCATTATGTTAAGTAAAATAAGCCAGTCACAAAAAGACAAATATCACATGTTCTCACTCATATGTGGGAGCTAAGTTGATCCCATGGAGGTAGAGAGTAGAATAGTGGTTACCAGAGGCTGGGGAGTTTGTGTGTACAGGGGAGATGGTATCAGGAGATGAAGAGAGGTAGACTAATAAGTACAAACATACAGTTAGATAGAAGAGATAAGTTATAGTATTTGATAACATAGCAGGGTGACTGTAGTTAACAACGCTATATTGTTTATTTCAGTGTAGCTCAGGAAAAGATTTGAAATATTCCCAATACAAAAGAAATGATACACGTTCAAGGTGATGAATATCCTAAATACCCTGACTTGATTGATCATTATGCATTTTATGCATGTATCAAAATATCACATGACCCCAGACATATATATAAATATTATGCAATAAAACCCATAATATCTGAGAAGTGCAATAAAGCACAAGGCAAGGAGGTATGCCTGTAAAAAATTAATAATAATTTATGAAATAGCTTAAATTGAAACCCAATAAAATTAACCACAGAAATTCTATTTCACATAATTCTCCAACAGGAATAAAGTTTCAATCAATGAAACAAGAGTGAACATTCACATGCTAAAATATAAATCTAGACACTGACCTCATACCTTTCACAAAAATTTACTCAAAATGAATCAGACACCTAAAGGTAAACTTAAAAACTATAAAACAGTGGCCCCCAACCTTCTTGGCATCAGGGACTGGTTTTGTGGAAGACAATATTTTCACAGACGGGGTGGAGGGCGGATGGTCTCAGGATAATCCGAGTGCATTACATTTAGTGTGCACTTTATTTCTATTATTATTACATTATAATACATAATGAAATAATTACACAACTCACTGTAATGTAGAATCTGTGGGGACCCTGCGCTTGTTTCCCTGCAATTAGATCATCCCTTATGAGGGTGATGGGAGACAGTGACAGATCATGAGGCATTAGATTCTCAAAAGAAGCTTGCAAACTAGATCCCTTACATGTGCAATTCACAATAGAATCTAACGTCGCTATTGATCTGACAGGAGCTGCCGCTCAGGCACTAATGTGAGTGATGAGAAGCAGCTGTAAATACAGATGAAGCTTTCCCCTCTTGCCAGCCACTGACCTCCTGCTGTGCAGCCTTGTTCCTAACAGGCCTCAGAATGGTACTTGTCCGTGGCCTGGGGGTTGGGACTCCTGCTATAAAACTTCTGGGTGATAACATAGGAGAAAATATAGGTGACCTTGAGTTTGGTGATGATTTCTTAGATATAATACCAAAGGCAGTATCCATGAATTTTTTAAAAATTGATAAATTGGACTTCTTTAAAATAAAAATCTTCCACTCTGCAAAATACAGTTTTCAGAAAATGAAAAGACAAGACACAGACTGGGAAAAAATATTTTCAAACCACACATCACACATCTGACAAAGGACTAATATTCAAAATATACAAAGAGTCCTTAAAATTCAACAGTAAGACATCAAACAACCCAATTTACCTTCAATTTGAACGTAGGTAAAAGATCTGAACAGACACTTTACCAAAGAAAACATACAGATGGCAAAGAGGTCTGTGAAAAGATTTGCAATATCATGTATCATTAAGAAACTTCATATTAAAACAACGAGATACCACTACACATTTACTAAAATGGCTAAAATCTGAAACACGGACAAACCACATCCTGGGTGAGATTATGGAGAAGCAGGAATTCTCATTCATTGTTTGTGGGAATGCAAATGATTCAGCCACTTTGCAGAACACTTTCATAGTTTCTTATGTCTCTTAGATATTTACCTAAATGAGGTGAATATTTATGTACACACACACACACACACAAAAAAAAACCTGCACACGAGTTGTTTATAGCAACTTTATTCACACTTGCCAAAACTTGGAAGCAACCAAGACGTCTTTCAGTAGGTGATCGGGTAAATAAACTCTTCTACATCCAGACAATAGAATATTGTTCAGTGATGAAAAGAAATTAGCTATCAAATGATAAAAATAATTGGAAGAAACTTTAATGTATATAACTAAGTAAAAGAAGACTTCCTGAGAAGACTACATACTATATGACTGCAACTATGCAATATTCTGAAAAAGAAAAAACTGTAGAGACATTAAAAGACTCAGTGGTTGCCCAGGGTTGGAAAGGGAGGAGTGATGAATAAATAGTACATGTGGGATTTTTAGGGTCATAAAGCTATTCTCTATGATACTGTAATAGTGGATATTACAGATTATTCTGTACTGTTCCATATTATTATAGATATGGATACAATGATGAACCTTATGCATTTAGAAAAACAATAGAACTATACAACACAAAGACTGAACTCTAATGTAAACTGCGGACTTTAGTTAATAATAATGTATCTACACTGGTTTATCAGTTGTAATAAATGTTATCAGTTGTAACCACATATATGGAGAGGTGTGTAATTGAGGAAACTGGATGAGAGGGTGAGAGAAGAGAAAATATATGAAAACTCCCTGTAATTTCTGTTCAAATTTTCTTCAGACTTAACAGTGATTAAGAAATAATAGCTATTACTTTTAAGAAGGCAACATCAAGTTATAAGTTACAGCAAATAAAAAGCTTTTTATTTTAGAAGAAAAAATGTTAATCATAAAGCATTGAATGTATTTCTTTTATAGCCCTTATTACACATATGCATACCTTACTAGGAAATACAACTGTAGAACACTTCAGCTCATAAACCTAACAGAACAGGAACCATGGGGTAAAGAAGAAATAAACACAACTATAATTCTATGAATGATATCTTTAAAAAGAAATATATTTATATGCCAGAATTCCTATACACCGTAAAAATGTATTATTTTTTAACCCCTAAGAGAAACATAAAAGTAGAATGGTGAGAAAATATAATATTTAGATTGTTAATAGAAAAATAAATCTACACTGTGTGTGATGAACTGAACTGAAGTGAGTTCAGGGAAAGGTTTTCAGAATTTCCAACGGTTCTCTAGAGAGAGTAGGAATGCTATTTATTCTCCCCTTGCTGCATCCTCACTCTGGGAAGAAGGAGTCTCTTCGTTCTTCACTCAGACTGGAGAGAAGAAAAAAGAGTTTTGTGAGCTATTCTCTCAGAAGTAACTGCAAAATGATATTGACCATCTCCAAAGGGAAATGAGCCAGTGTGGTGAGACTTGTAAATTTTTTGACTTCCTCTTGCCTGTTAATATTATTTCTACAAATAAAAATGGTTGAACTATTTCATTCATTTGTTCATTTATTCATTCATTGAGTAAATAGCATTGGAGTTCCTACTATCCATTCTAGAAACTGGCAGTAGAGCAGTGATCAAAATGCACTATGCCCTTGCTCTCACCAAGCATCTGTACTTACAGGAAAAGGCAGAAAATAAGACATGTAAACAAATATATGTTATGAGGCTTTTGATTAGTGGAAATGTTATAAATAAAATAAAACAAGGTAATGTAGTAGTATCAGCAAAGGCAGGGTGTGGCTGAAGAAAGAGTAGACAACAAAAGACTCTGAGATGATATTTAAGTTGAGAACTAAATTACACAATTTATTACATGAACATTGATTGAGTAATATTACATACTGGACACTGCTCTAAGAAATCGAATTTCTACCTTCATGGAGCTTACAATTTAGTGGGGAGGAGGAAGAAACAGAAAATACATAAGTAAGCAGATAGATTGATAGCATAATTTCAAATAGGTGATGAATGCTATTTGAAAAAAATAAGACAGTGTAGGGAGATCTAGAGTGAGATTATGTACATTTTAAATTTTGAACAATAATTTGTTGTATTAGTTCATTCTTACACCACTAGAAAGAAATGCCCATGACTGGGTAATTTATAAAGGAAAGAGGTTTAATTGACTCAGTTCCACATGGCTGGGGAGGCCTCCCTTAGGAAACTTACAATCATGACCTAAGGCACCTCTTCACAGGGCAGCAGGAGAGAGAGTGAGTGTGAACAGGGGAAATGCCAGAAGCTTATAAAACCATCAGATCTTGTAAAAACTCACTCACTATCATGGGAACAGCATGGGGGAAACTGCCCCCATGATTCAAACTGCCCCCATGATTCAAGGACTGGGTCCCTCCCATGACACCTGCGAATTATGGGGACTACAATTCAAGATGAGATTTTGGGCAGGGACACAGCCAAACCATATCATTTGTAATCTGCAGAAAGTGTCCTATACCCCACCAGCACTACTTCAGAATCAATATTTCCATATATACTGGCCAAGTCACTACATTATCAAAATCTTTGCTCATTGCTAGTCTGACATATGAAAGTGTGATGTCACTGTGGTTTTAATTTGTATTCTTCTATTTATGCTTTGTTTTCAACTACCTTATGTCTTTTATGGTTTTCAAAGTCTGTAGTCATTAATAATTACTAACATAGTTTTTTTAAGTCAACTATATTATCACCAATTAATTTTGGAAATCTACTCCTTCCTTTGGTGTTTCTTTTTCTTTTTCTTTTCTGAAATAAAGCTTTTACTATATCTTTCAATGAAAATCTGTGTATGTATCAGAAGATTTTTACTCTGCCCTCCCCCATGAATGATTAATTTTTTTTCTAATAACCTTTGAATACATGATCCCTTCCATTATTTTCTGGCATCTGCTTCTGGCAATGATATATCTGCTTTTTATCTCATTGTTGGTTTTGAAGGTAATATATTCTCTCTGGTAACTTTCAGATTTATTTTTGTCTTTGGGGTTCTTTAACTTAATTGAAATATGTATAAATGTGAATTTATTTTTATATCCTGCTCAAGACTTTGCTTGTTCCTCCAATTTGAAAATATCTGCTTCATTGCCTATTGAAATATTAATACCTCTTATCTCAAAGAATGGGCTTCTTTACTTGGTTTTGAGAACAGAATAAGGGGGTTGGTTGTTCATATTTTGTGGGGAATAAGGTGATTGATAAGAAGATGAGATCCTAATCCACACACAGGCTTGCTGGAGAATTCTTAAAGACTTAACACTAGAAAGCTACTGAGACTAAATGACAGGTGTTGCCTTAAGGAAGGAGAGCAGGGGGAAGCAATCAAGATCTGAGAATGAGGCGTTGGCTTCAAACAATATATTTTTTACATTTTAAATTATTTAATTTTTTCTTCCAACTTTTATTTTAGGTTCAGAAGTACACCTGTAGGTTTCTTATATTGGTAAATTGTTTGCTGCTGGAGTTCATTGTAGAAATGTTTTTAACACACCAGTAGTGAGCTTAGCACCCAATAGGTAGCTCTTTGTTGTTGTTGTTGTTGTTGTTATTTGGTTTTTTTGAGATGAAGCTTCACTCTGTCACCCAGGCTGGAGTGCAGTGGCATGATCTTGGCTTATCGTAACGCCTGCCTCTTGGGTTCAAGCAATTCTCCTGCCTCAGCCTTTCCAGTAGCTGGAAATACAGGCACAAGCCATTATGCCTGGCTGATTTTTTGTATTTTTAGTAGAGATGGGATTTCACCTTGTTGGCCAGGCTGGTCTCGAACTCCTGACCTCAAATGATCCACCCACCTCAGCCTCCCAAAATGCTGGGATTACAGGCATGAGCCACTGCTTCCGGCCCCAGTAGGTAGTTTTCTTGATCCTTACTCTACTCCCACCCTGTACCCTTGAGTAGGCTCCCATGTCTATTGTTCCCCTCTTTGTGTCCATGTATGCTGACTATTTAGTTTCACTTATAAGTGAGAACATGTGGTATTTGGTTTTCTATTCCTGCATTAGATCAAATAGGATAACAGCCTCCAACTGCATCCACATTGCTGCAAAGGACATAATTTCATTCTTTCTTATGGCTGCTTAGTATTCCATGGTGTATATGTACCATATTTTCTTTAACCACTCCACTGCTCATGGGCATCTATATTGATTCCTTGTCTTTGCTATTGTGAACAGTTCCAAGGAACATACACATGCATGTGTCTTTATGGTAGAATGACTTATATTCCTTTGGGTATATACCCATTAATGGGATTATTGAGTCAAATGGTAGTTCTATTTTAAGTTCTTTGAGAATTTTCCAAACTGCTTTTCACAGTGACTAAACTAATTTACATTTCCACCAGCAGTGTATAAGGATTTGTTTTTCTCTGCAACCTCACCAACATCTATTATTTTTTGACTTTTTAATAACCATTATCACTTGTGTGAGATGGTGTCTCATTCTGTGTTTGATTTGCATTTCTCTAATGATTGGTGATGTTGAGCATTTTTCCATATACTTGTGGGCTGCGTGTATGTCTCCTTTTGAGAGGTGTTTTTTCATGTCCTTTGTCCATTTTAATGAGGTTGTTTGTCTTTTGCTTGTTGATTTAAGTTCCTTATAGCCTCTGGATATTAGACCTTTGTCTTATTCATAGTTTGTGACTCTTGCTCCCATTCTGTGGGTTGTCTGTTTAGTCTATTGATAGTTTCATTTGCTGTTCAGATGCTCTTTAGTTTAATTAGGCCCTACTTATCAATTTTCAACAATAATTCTTGAATGAGTGAATAAATGAATGAATGGCTGTTATGGAGTTCACTTTCAACCTAACAGAGTATCAATATTTTCAAAACTGACCATCAAGGTATTTATATTCACTGGGCAAATTCACATGCTTCTGAGGAAATTAATTAGTATAGCTAAATAACATCATTTTAATTTTCTCTTTTGGTCTGCTTTACCTTGGGAAGTCTACAGCTTTAGGAAGAGGCAGATTAACAATGATAAGTATGGTCAATGCATTCAGGATATTTCTGTCTAGCAATTTTTTATTGACTGATACTGGTAAAACTGTGCATTTCCTGGCCTAGTCTTATGGAAAGCCTAAGAAAACTGAAAAATCACTATTTGACTTGATAGATGACGGAACTCTGAAAGTGTTCATGTACTTGACTACTGTAGCTTTAGTTATTTTCATTCAGTGATAAAGCACAAGTCTATATCCGAGAATATCTTATCCAATGTTCACCAGCTATAAAACCAAAGACAATGTTCTCTCTCATCAATAGCTCTGCAGAAAGAACTGTCTGGATAACGGGAATTGAGGCATTGCTGTGAACTAAAGCCCTGGCATTCTGCCCAGAACTCTATGTTCATCTAAAAAAAATGTACTTACTCTTTTCCATGTACAAGGTAAGAATAGTAAGAAACCCAACAATGCATAATCAATAGTCCACATTCTGGAGTCAGAATGCCTGGTTCAAACCTCTGTGTGTTTCTTCCCATTCAGATCATCTTGGACAAGTGATAGAACCACATAAAGCCTCAACTTCCTCATCAGTAAATGATTAGGGTAATTGTGTCCTTCTCCCAATAAAAAATGTTGTAAGATTAAATGAGGATAACTTGAATGCTTTTTAATCGTATGTGATCAATAGGAATAATTTTCAAAGCACTTTCTTAATATGAGACATAGAATAAGTAATTAAATTATCATTCTGTAATGGGAGAATTACTGTTTATTGATCTGGGTATCAGACTCTAGACTGAAATTATCTATTGGGTTGCACCCATATACATGACTATTTTAGTGGTACTTTATTTGATGTTCTTTAAATCAAACATAAACAGTTATAATTGAAACCACATAGTAGAATAAACTACACAGTCTTTACTAGACAATTATTAACTCAAACATAAATATGTATTCAACAAGCTACAAATAGTATTAATTTGGCACTTATATTGATTTACTGTTTCCCATTCCTTGAATTAGTGGGACATTTTAGCCAGGAATCTCTGAAGTATATCTTTCTTCTGGTTACAATTATATCCCCATCTTTCATTGTTGAATCCTCTGTTGACCAAAATAATTATCCTGTGTAATCAATGAAGCATTAGATCTTTTAATACCAATCTCTGAGATTCTTTATTCCCTCCTTCTTCAATAACTGTTATGTACAGTGCTGAAATTTAAGATTTTTCTCTTCTTTAGCACCTCTTCTGTAAAATGCTGGCCATAGATGCTTATCCCTTAGTACAAAGGATACAATACAGGAAATGACTAGCTCATTTATTTGCAAGGTGCTGTGGTTCTGTGCAATATCTCTTGGATCAGAATTCATGATTTTATAATCTTGCCCCTGTATCATTAAGAGAATGGGAGTGATTTGTATTACCAGCTGCTTTTCAGCAAGAGCAAAACTGTTTTCAGGTTGAGAATAACATCTAGGCAGTTAATATGCTACCTGGAAAAAAAATCATCCTCACTCATCAGATGTAAAGAACTTATCAGTTTACATAATTCTTACACTAACATGTAGCACTAACATGCACTAGTGTTTTTCCTAAAGTCATTAAGAGCTTAGACATTAAATTGTCATTTCATTACCCACATTTACTTGTTTGTTTAGATTATATTTTCACATATATTATAAATGCTTGATCCTCAAGGCACCCTGTGTGGGGGGCTGGGCAAACATCTCCCTCAGAAAATGCCAAGACTTGAGGAGCCACCTGAATGACTCTGTTGTGACTGGGAAAACCCAAGACAAGGACTCAGACTGTGAATCCACATCCAGTACTTGCTTTAGATGTCAGAATGTCTTCATCACATATCATCTTTATTGAACACCAGTTATTTCCTTGTCTTTAATTCAAAAAAATAAAGCTCACCAAAGGAAGAGACTAGTGTTAGACTTTTATACATTATTTTCATTTCTGTTGTCAACACAAGTTCTATGTGACATTCTAGTCATTTGGGTGCATAAGTAAATAATATTTACTATCCTTATTCCTACATAGCAATTAATGGAAATAAAGTACAAAGTAGAATATTAAATCTCTAAAAAGGATGACTCATGATCATGACACCTGGTGTACATTGGCAACAGTGTAATACAATGAGAAAAGCACAGGCATAGGCACAGGTAGGCATGGGTTTAGGTAAACTCTGCCTCTTATTATTAATAGTTGTTTGACATTGGCAAGCCATTTATGCAGCCTGACCTTTAGTTTCTTCCCATGTAAAATGGATATTGACTCCTAATTAACAAGATTGTTTTGAGTGTGCTAAAATATGTAAAAGAGTGAATGACATACATTCAATATTCAATACATATTAAACATTATAAAAATTGATTATATGGCTTAGAAAACTTGAAGTATGGAGAAATCAGAGAACATTTCGAATGTCAGAAAATAATATATTGTTAGAGCTTGAAAATAGTCAGTGAGTCATCACACGGTTGTTTACTCACTTCAAATGAGATCAACAATCAAGTGTTTTCATTTATAGAAAAAAACACTGATAGTTCTTGGTGTGAACTGTTTAGAGAGTTAGGCAAAATAAATGTATTTGACACTCCTGATTCATCGCTCATGAGAGGCAAGTTTAGTGACTCTAAACATAAAACCTTTGACCATGTGGAGAACCAAGGAACATAATGAAGCTGGTTGGTTGCTCCTAAGTTCAGTGGACAAAGTGATGAAAGAAATTATTAACTCAGGGATTCTGTCTCCCGGCTTCAGAAGAAGATGCTGAGACTCAAATCTGCTAAGATTGCCCAGAATGAAAATCTTATCTCCTGTAAAGAAAGAGCTGAAATTGTGGAAAAACAGACACAAGCTTTTATCATGCGAGTGGCTGACCTGCAACTAAAGGTGCGTGGACAGCCTCACCAGGTGTCTACTGTTAAAGTGAGGGCATTGATTGGAAAAGAATAGGACCCTGCAACTTGGAATGGGGTTGTGTGAGAGGACCCTGATGAAGCTGGGGACACTGAGTTTGTAAACTCTGATGAACCTTTTCTGCCAGAAGGAAGAGGTTGCTGATCCCCAGTAGTGGCAACATCCCCTCCCTGACCCATGCTGCCATCAGCCTTTCCACCTTTGAGGAGATAAACCCTGCACTGCCTCAGGCAACAGTAATGGCCTCTCCTATGGCAGTTGCCAGGCAAGATAATGTTGATTATCCTCAGGAGCCATCCCCAACACCCTGTTTGCTTCTAGACCTATAAAGTCCTGGTGGGCCCCTAGAGGTGCGGTTGAGAGAGTGACCCATGAGTAGGTGTGCTACACTAAAAAAGAACTGCTTAAATTACCTAATTTATATAAACAGAAATCTGGAGAACAGGCATGGGAATGGATATTAAGGGTGTGGGATAATGATGGAAGGAACACAGAGTTGGGTCAGGCTGAATTTATTAATTTGGGACCACTAAGTAGGGACTCTGCATTTAATGTTACAGCTCTGGGAGTTAAAAAAGGTTCTAATAATTTATTTGCTTGGTTAGCTGAAATATGGATTAAAAGTTGGCCCACTGTGAGTGAGCTGGAAATACCTGATCTCCGTTGGTTTAATGTAGAGAAGGAATCCAAAGGCTTAGCGAGATTGGGATGGTGGAATGGATTAGTCACTTTAGAGTTACTCATCCCAGCTGGGAGGATGTAGAAGATATACTCTTGATGAATGCCTTGCTAAATAGATTGGTGAGGGTAGCACCTGCATCTTTGAAGAGCCCTGCAATTGCTCTTCTCTGTGTGTCAGATCTAACAGTGGGAACCACAGTAACTCAACTACAAAATGTAAATACGATGGGAATAATTGTATCCTGAGGTGACAGGGGTAAAGTGGCAGCAGTCAACTGTCCAAGGCAAGGTGGGCATAGCTGCCATAATGGACAGCAGAGCCAAAGCAGCAATCAGAATAGTCTGACTCCAGTAGAGCTCTGGCATTGGCTAATTAATCATGGTTTCTTAAAAGTGAAATTGACAGGGAGCCTACTGTATTCCTACTTAATTTATATAAACAGAAAACTTCTAGGTCAAATGAACAAAAGACTAATTTGAATTATGAAAACAGAGAATCATGGCCCCTCAGTTTTCAGACTTGAGCCAGTTTACAGACCCAGAATGCCTTGAATGATGGGGAGGCCGGGTCCCCTTGAGGAAAGACCCCACTACCTTACCAACAATTTATGCAATTGAGTCTTTCTCCCATCTTTCCCCAAGGACACAGCCAGCCTTTTACCAGGGTAACTGTGCATTGGGAACAGGGAAATGATCAGACATTCTGGGGACTACTGGACACTGGCTCTGAACTGACGTTGACTCTAGGGGACCCAAAATATCATTGTGGTCCTCCAGTTAAAGTAGGGGCTTATGGTGGTCAGGTAATTCACTGAGTTTTAGCTCAGATCTGACTTCCAGTGGGTCCAGTGGGTCCCTGGACTCATCCTGTGGTCATTTCCCCAGTATCAGAATGCATTATTGGCATAGACATATTTAGTAGCTGGTGGAACCCCCACATTGGCTCCCTGACTGGTATGGTGAGGGCTATTATGGTGGGAAAGGCCAAATTGAAGCCATTAGAGCTGCCCCTCCCTAGAAAAATAGTAAATCAAAAACAATATCACATCCCTAGAGGGACTGTGGAGATTAGTGCCACCGTCAAGGACTTGGAAGATGGAGGGGTGGTGATTCCCATCACATCCCCATTCAACTCTCCCATTTGGCCTGTGCAGAAGACAGATGGATCTTGGAAAATGACAGTGGATTATCATAAGCTTAACCAAGTGGTGACTACAATTGCAGCTGCTGTACCAGGTGTGGTTTCATTGCTTGAGCAAATTAACACATCTCATGGTACCTGGTATGCAACCATTGACTTGGCAAATGCCTTTTTCTCCATTCCTGTTCATAAAGCCCACCAAAAGCCATTTCCCTCGTCTAGCAAGACCAGAAATATACCTTTACTGTTTTACCTCAGGGTTTGTGTCATAATCTTATTCAGAGAGACCTTGATTGCTTTTTGCTTCTGCAAGATATCACACTGGTGCATTACATTGATGACATTATGCTGATTGGATCCAGTGAGCAAGAAGTAGCAAATGCACTGGACTTATTGGTGAGACATTTGCATGCCAGAAGATGGGAAATAAATCCAACTAAAATTCAGGAACCCTCTACCTCAGTAAAATTTCCAGGGGTCCCTTGGTGTGGGACCTGTCAAGATATTCCTTCTAAGGTGAAGGATAAGTTGCTGCATTTGGCCCCTCCTACCATCAAGAAAGAGGCACAATGCCTAGTCAGCCTATTTGGATTTTGGAGGAAACACATTCTTCATTTGGGTGTGTTACTCCTGCCCATTTATCGAGTGACCCAAAAGGCTGTCAGTTTGGAGTGAAGTCCAGAATAGGAGAAGGCTCTGCAATAGGTCCAGGCTGCTGTGCAAGCTGCTCTGCCACTTGGGCCATATGACCAAGAAGATCCAATCATGCTTGAGGTGTCAGTGACAGATAGAGATGCTGTTTGGAGCATTTGGTAGGCCCCCATAGGTGAATCACAGGAGACACCTCTAGGATTTTGGAGCAAGGCCCTGCCATCTTCTGCAGATACCTACTCTCTTTTTGAGAGACAGCTTTTGGCCTCTTACTGGGCTTTGGTGGAAACTGAATGTTTGACTATGGATCATCAAGTCACCATGAGACCTGAACTGCCTGTCATGAACTGGGTGCTTTCTGACCCATCTAGCCATAAAGTGGGTCATGTACAGTGCATTCCATCATAAAACGGAAGTGTTATATATGTGATCATGCTCAAGCAGGTCCTGAAGGCACAAATAAGTGACATGAGGAAGTGGCTCAAATGCCCACGGTCTCCACTCCTGCCACAGTCTTCTCTCCCTGAGCCTGTACCGATGGCCTCATGGGGAGTTCCCTATGATCAGCTGTATGAAGGAGAGAAGCCTAGGACCTGGTTCATAGATGGTTCTGCACGATATGCAGGCACCATCCAAAAGTGGACAGCTGCAGCCCTACAGCCCCTTTCTAGGACATCCCTGAAGGAAAGTAGTGAAGGGAAATCTTCCCAGTGGGCAGAACTTTGAGCAGTGCACCTGGTTGTGCACTTTGCATGGAAGGAAAAATGGCCAGATGTGTGATTATATAGTGGTTCATGGACTGTAGTCAATGGTTTGGCTGGATGATCAGGGACTTGGAAGAAGCATGATTGGAAAATTGGTGACAAAGAAATTTGGGGAAAAGGTGTGGATAGACCTCTCTGAGTGGTTAAAACAACTTTGAAGATATTTGTATCTCATTTGAGTGTCCACCAACGGTGACCTCAGCAGAAGAGGACCTTAATAATCAAGTGGATAAGATGACCTGTTCTGTGGACACCACTCAGCCTCTTTCCCTAATCACCCCTGTCATCACCCAAAGGGGCCCACGAACAAAGTGGCCATGGTGGCCGGGATGGAGGTTACACATGGGCTCAGCAACCTGGACTTCCACTCACCTAAGCTGACCTGGTTATGGCCACTGCTGAGTTCCCAATTTGCCAGCAGCAGAGACCAACACTAAGCCCTCAATATGGCACCATTCCTCAGATGGTGCCAGATACCCAGTAGCATTTTGATTATATTGGACCTCTTCCATCATGGAAAGGGCAGAGGTTTGTCCTCACTGGAATAGACTCTTACTCTGAATAAGAGTTTGCCTATCCTGCGTGCAATGCTTCTGCCAAGACTACCATTCGCGGACTCATAGAATGCCCTATCCACCATCATGGTATTCCACACAGCATTGCCTCTGGCCAAGGCACTCACTTTACAGCTAAAGCAGTGTGGCAGTGAGCTCATGCTCATTGAATTCGCTGGTCTTACTACGTTCCCTATTATCCTGAAGCAGCTGGATTGATAGAATGGTAGAATAGCCATTGGAAGTCACAACACCAACTAGGTGACAATACTTTGCAGGGCTGGGACAAAGTTCTCCAGAAGGCTGTGTATGCTCTGAATCAGCATCCAATATGTTTTTTGCATAGCCAGGATCCATGGGTCCAGCAATCAAGGGGTGGAAGTGGAAGTGGCGCCACTCACCATCACCCACAGTGATCCAAGGGCAACATTTTTGCTTCCTGTTCCCACAACATTACGTTCTGCTGGCCTAGAGGTCTTTGTTCCCAGAGAGGAATGCTGCCACCAGGATGCACAACAACTGTTCCATTAAACTGGAAGTTAAGATTGCCACCTGGACACTTTGGGCTCCTCCTACCTTTAAGTCAACAGGCTAGAAAGGGAGTTACAGTTTGGCTGGGGTGACTGACCTAGACTAACAAGATGAAATCAGTCTACCAGTCCACAACGGAGATAAGGAAGAGTATGCATTGAACATAGGAGAACCATTAGGGCGTCTCTTAGTGTTACCATGCCCTGTGATTAAGGTCAATGGGAAACTACAACAGCTCAATCCAGGCAGGACTACAAATCTCTCACATCCTTCAGGAATGAAGGTTTGGGTCACTCCACCAGGGAAAAAACCATCACCTGCTGAGGTGCTTGCTGAAGGCAAAGGAAATGCGGAATGGGTAGCAGAAGGTAATAATCAATATCAGCTATGACCATGTGACCAGCTGCAGAAATGAGGACTGTAATTGTCATAAGTATTTCTTCCTTCTTTTGTTAAAAACATGTTTGTGCATGTATGCTCTTGTACTAAGAAAATATCATCGTTTTATTTCCTTTCTCTTTTATCATGGGACATAAGATTTATTGACTTCAGCATTTAAACATTGTGAACTTTACGTAATAGTATTTGAGTTGGGGCTTGGTGCATTTCCAGTTGTATGTAGGATAGTTGTATTATGTTAGGCATAATTATTACCTTATTATTGTGAGGATTATGTATGATCTCAGGAGATGTGTATGGGTTCGAGTTGACAAGGGGTGGACTTGAGATGGTTAATACTGAGTGTCAACTTGATTGGATGGAAGGATGCAAAGTATTGATCCTGGGTGTGTCTGTGAGGGTGTTGCCAAAGGAGATTAACATTTGAGTCAGTAGGCTGGGAAAGGCAGACCCACCCTTAATATGGGTGGGCACAATCTAATCAGCTGCCAGCGGGCTAGAAAATAAACAGGCAGAAAAATGTGAAAAGAGAGATTGGCCTAGCCTTCCAGCCTACATCTTTCTCCCATGCTGGACACTTTCTGCTCTCAAACATCAGACTCCAAGTTCTTCAGTTTTGGGACTCGGACTGCTCTCCTTGCTCCTCAGCCTGCAGACAGCCTATTGTGGGACCTTGTGATTGTGTGAGTTAATACTTAATAAACTCTCCTTTATGTATATATCTATTCCATTAGTTCTGTCCCTCTAGAGAACCCTGAATAATAGAGGCTTAGAACATGTTGCATAGGCCCCTTAACCACCACAAGATATCTGCCTAATCGCAGTTCTGTAATTCTTAGTCTTGGTACTGAAACAGGCCCAGTATGAAAACTGTTGTGTAGGAAAGCTTGACTTGGCATTAAGCCAAGGGAAATATAAGAACTTACAGTGCCTTGTTTATAAAAGGTACAGGGAATTGCTTATGACTTGTAAATGCTACATCAAATGGTTGACATAATTTCAGTAGCACCATGCTTGGGCATTACAACAAATATAGCAGCAGTTATTTCTGCTGTGTACAGCTAAAAAACAGGCTTTTCCCACTAAAAATCGAATCTGAAAGTTCCTTGTTTCATGTGTGATTAATGGTGGCTACACTCCATTCTCATTCAGGAATGAGAACAGAGGATTGAAGGAGTCATTGAGTATCCAAAGATTCATATTTTTATGCACATTTTAAAGATGATTAATGTGGACTTCTGAATACATAATTTTAGTATATTTACAAGGAGATTTCAAAGAACTGTACCATCTTAAAACATTTTTTCTAACCAGTATTAATGGGTTGAAAATAAACATAAATATATTTATTTGTAAGTTCTGAATATAATAATTTCAGTAGGCCCACCACAATATCACACAATGAAATAATAATCTTATATATTATCACTATATAATAGATATTAACTCTAGGGTTTCTGCTTTTACATTTCCTTGTATGTTTGCTTAACAAATATTTTCTCATTTAGATATAAGACCACAAAGTTGCACTGATTTATCAAACAAAGTAAAATAATATAAACCCCTAGGTTGCATTAAAATTTCACTGTAGATGGGCACCCTGGCCTGCACTTGTAGTCCCAGTTATTTGAGAGGCTGAGGAAAGAGGATCACTTGAGCCCAGGAGTTTGAGGCCAGCCTGTCCAACACAGTGAGACTCCTTCTCCAAAAATAAATTAATTAATTAAATTGTTGAATTAGTGCTTGGTGCTATCTGATTCTGCATTTTCTACTGAACTATTAAAAGAGTTCTGATAAAGATGCCCCCAGCTACAGCCCTCAAACAAGCCATTTTCTTAGCTTAATTTTGAACTGCATATCTAGTCTCAAATCAGCTGACTTTATTGAAACTGGCTGAATCATGGCACAGAGATGCAGAGGAAAGAGATGGGAAAGAGAGATACACAAATGTCAGTAGTTCACCAAAAGTGTCTTTCCAAGCATCTGCCATTGGAAAATTCATTCCTTAAAAAATAGAGGCAGAACTATTGTTAGGAACAGTGCACACTTTGTTTTATACATAGTGTTCTTTTTATTATGGTGTAATGAGTTTCTAGTCTACCTGAAATATATTTTCTACACTGCTATTAGAAAAAAATATTCTATAGACATTTCCCCAACAGAACAGTCTTTGTTACCATTCTTTATTAAAATTCACCCAAGATAAAAATGACACAGATTAAATTTGTATTATAAAAGTAAAAAAGGACATCATCATTTTCTTATATGAAATTATTATTTTGATGTAATGAATTATCAGTAAACAAATCCCTATGTCATTTTAATGCTTGAATCTTCAATGGACTTTTACAACTGAATACTAACAAAAAGGTAAAGACACACATCCCTGAACATAACTGGTGGGTTGAATAAACATAACTAAACAACTATGATCAACACAACTTCATGTACTATTTCTCACGGTCCTTTCAAAATTTATTCATAGTTACTTTTTCTTGTTTTCATTAAAAAAATTTATGTGATGACTTTGTTTCAAAAAATCCTTTGAATTACATAGTTAGGATTGTTCAGTACAATAGCTTAAATCTTCATGATTCATTAAAAAATAAAATTTCTTGCCACTTCTCCTTGCAATGTTCAATGATCTCCATCCCTCACCCTCCAGTATTACTGAGTATCGAGTAGGATGTATCTTTCCTGTGAGGGAGTATGATTAACTGTGATTAACTTTTTTTCCTGTTCTGCTGATAATGTTCCTCAAGCTTCTAGTCTTTCTGGGATTGGATTTTGGAGAAAATCGGATACAGAAAATTTCTACTAATTGGCATGGTGGTAAGATATCTTTATATTCTTTGATTGGCATAGATGTAAATTCAAATCTTGGTCTCATAGTTGCTTTTGTGGAACCCTCTGACAGACTGTGCACCACACAATCTCTTCTGTGCAGCCCCTGGCTTCCCAGTGGTCCATTCCCACACAGCCCCCCACACACCTGCTCTCTTGGGCAAGAATCAAGAGGGCTCTTTCTGGCAATTACTTTTCTGTGGCACAGGGTTTTGTTACGTTCTTTTCTTCTTCTGAATAGAAACAGACCACTGCTCTGCTGCAAAGCTCTAAATTTCTCAGTCTCTGTCAGCATTCTTGCTAAGTCTCCATTATGGGGCATACTCTCTGCATAGTCCCTTTGGGGCCAGTCTCACTGGGGATTGGGAGGTAGAGTCCCTCCACATTTTGGCTAGCCAGAATTATCAAATAAAGTACACCTACCTTAATTTTAATTTCAAATAAGAAATAAATAGTACAGTTTTTAGGACAAATTTATATAAAAATTATGTATTGTTTAACTAAATATTCAAATGTAATGGAAGTCCTCTATTATATCTGGTTACTCTATCTACCTTCCCCTTGTCTTTGAGTGGGACAAGACGGCATCTTTCTCCAGTAATGTCTCTTCTCCAATTCTCCTTCTCAACTCTTCTTTGATTCTTGGCTATAATTCTAATAGGTGAAGGTAGGGAATTTAGTTCTTAGACATATATTTCTTTTGACTAATGCAGTTGGTCTATCTCACAAGTCACTGTCTCTACGACTCATTTAACGTGAGAAATCTGTCTTATCTCAGGGCCTTAGTTTAAACTTTAAATTTAACTTCCTATTTAATATATGTGAAACAACACTATCTCTATAAAATATTAAGGCTGGGCGTGGTGGCTCATGTCTGTAATCCCAGCACTTTGGGAGATCGAGACCAGCTTGACCAACATGGAGAAACCCCATCTCTACTAAAAATACAAAATTAGCCGGGCGTGGTGGCACGTGCCTATAATCCCAGCTACTCGTGAGGCTGAGGCAGGAGACTTGCTTGAACCAGGCAGGCGGAGGTTGCGGTGGGCTGAGATCGCACTCTCCAGCCTGGGCAACAGGAGTGAAACTTTGTCTCAAAAAAAAAAAAAAAAAGAAAAAAAATTTAAGAAAAAAAAATAGACTCTTCACTGCCCTGTAGATTCACCTTTAAGTATTTTGAAATCACAGTGTTTGGTCATTTCTTATTATTGCAATTTTTAGTCTGATGCCTTAGTTCTTCCAGGAGCAAGAGTCCCAATATTCCTGGAACTGCACTTTCTAGTCTCACCCATGATCTTCCATGATTCTTTTCTCTATTCACTTGGGCTAAGAGTGGGCCTCTGACCCAAATCAGGACAGCCAGAATTGTCCACTGATAATTTATATCAAATCTAAAAAAAAATCCATTGAGTTAAACATTTACCATATAAAATTCAGAAGATACAATTTATTCTATTTCTTACCTTCTATGAAAAACAATTTAGGTAACAGGTAATTTAGGTAACTTATTAAATTTAGGTAACTTATTAAACTATTCCTTGTTTTGTTAAACTGATAAATTCTATTTTTTCTAATGTACTTGGAGTTAGCATTTCTTTACATTGTAGCCAATAAGTTGTTTAAATTTTGAAACTCAGTTCATTATTTTAATATTGTGTCCAACAAAATACTATCAGAGGATTTTACAAAATGCCATGATTTAGGAAAGATCATAAGTTTAAAACACATCAACTAAAACAGATTAGTTATACTTTGGAAATATAGTTAGAAGAGAGAGAAACAAAGGACATCACAATAGACAGGATTAATACTTGAACACAATACACACAAATATGCCACCCACACAAAAAGAATTATGAAGCCATACTCCAAATGGGAAGTTGTACCTGGGTGGAATTATATTTAACTAAGTTAGGAAGAGAAGAACTGAGAGAATGGTGTCTAAGAATTCTTAAGCAGATATTCATATATTTTTTGTAAAACATTTTTAAAGTTTACTTTACATATGGAATTGAGGTTAGAATGAATAACTGTGCATATATGAATATTGAGCAATAGTACTGTTCAATGTTCCTGTTTTTGTCCCCAAAACATACTTCTCACAATGGCAGGCAGATTTTCAAAAAAGTACAACTATCTACTTTATATATATTTTAGCATTATTTCTAATTTGGGATGTAGCAAATCTTTTAGGCAGATGGTTTGGTCTTCTATCCTTTACCCCTTTCACAGTATTTTCCCTCCTCTCATTCATTAGTATCCTTCTAAAAGTTTGCCAGTGCTCTTTTGCTCTTCTGATTTCTGTGGCACAGATCATTAATTGCTTATTTCCACACTAAATCTAACCCAAAGCCCAATATCCCTACTCTGCATTATTTTTTTTACAACAGTTACCATATCATGACATATTAGATTTGAATGAGGCATATCACCTTTAAAGATGTTCAAGCTAAAGTACCTTTTTTTACTGGCAAACTTAAAAGTTTATCTATTTTACCACACTCTCTATTTCCATTTTTTGTTATTTTGTTCATAGTTTCTAACAGGAGAAGGATGGATGTCTTCCTAGGGCCTATTGTTTTCCAATAGAAAAAGATAGCATAATTTTGATGACGATGCAATGAATTTTTGAGATGACTTTATGGAATTAATATATAATTTATTTAATATTAACTGAGCTTATGTTATGAATCTACCTTCATTCCAGAGCTTATGTAATCACAAAACAAATAGAAGACACGATCTGAAGATACTAGCAAAAAATGCATACTGTAAAAAAAACAAAATATAATAAAATTAGCACATATTCCAATTGGAAAAAAAAAGTGTAAAACGATTCTCTAAGAATACCAATTTGCAGCTATTTCATATAATATTTTTCTGTGTGTTCATACTCACTTTAAAAATTATACATATATATAAACATAATAATGAAAACATTAAACCCTCTGATAACTTTGCCCTTGAAAGAACAGTAGTGGGGAAGAGGTCGTGGATAATATCACATTCAATAGAAAAGAAGGGAAACTAAACAAAAGCAGTAGTAAGACAAAGGGAGAGAATTAGATTTCCCAGTTAACTGAACTTGACTGTTCAGTTAACATGTTTTGCTTGACATATAATTAGAGATGGAAGATATCATGGTTAACTAAATATCATTAGTATTATTATTGAAATTTGAATATAAAAAGTAATAGCTACCATAACCTTTTTTGGAAGGGGCCAGAATTCAAGAGAGATCAGCTAAGCTGAGAAGCTCAGGTCTTCTTGAGAGAGTATTAGGAACTCGTCCTTTAGTTAAGTGATTAACTGGCCAACCAGCTTTATGTATGCTGAAACTATTTCAAAGCAAAAGATAAAATCAGGTAGCAGGAGTGGGCTGCTATGGCACACTGCATTTAGTTTCTCATAATGTTACTGAAATGAAATTTCAAAATTATTGTATTTGTAAATGATACTAGTTAATTTTACTTATGTGAAAAGTAGAAAAAAAGTTGCCTATCTACATATTCTATTGTTTTGAAAAATTGTTCCCAATTAAATTTCTCCTGTTTATTTAGCAAAAGGTAATATCAATATTCTAATTACTACTGTGGGTTTTAAAAATTATTATATAATTGGGAAAGGTATGTCTCAGTTGTATGGCAAAGTGAGCTTATGTTGTTTATCTTCCCAGTTTTTTGTTTGTTTGTTTGTTTGTCAGGGCCTGTCTCATCTCTATGTCTGGACCTGGGGCCTGCAATCATAGTGACTTTGCCTACCTGTATCTCCCCACATTCTACCAAGCTCCAACAAAAGGTGATCATGTGATTCATAATGGCCAATGAATAGGCAGACTTACACAGTTTGTTGTTTTCAAGGGTCTCTGGGCAAGGGAATGAGTGGGGCCTGAAATCTAGCCATGCTTCTCTCCCCAAGCTGTGTACCTTGGCATGGGGTATATATGCCCGAAGAAAGGTCGCCTTTTTCTAATTCTCATAAAGGCTCCATCTGCTTGCCAAGCTGTTCACCTGCAGGGCTGTATCCACCTAGTGGGGAAATCATTTGCTCATTTGTACAAAGGCTCTGGAGCCATATGGGCTAACGAAGGCCTTGCCAATGAGAGAACTCCCTACCCCTTGCCTCGGTGACTGCTTCGTAGATGGACCCAAGCTCAAAGATGGACTCTCCTGGACTTTTATATGATAATTAGCTAGAAATGTTGCATTTAATGGTGACGGCTGCTAAGCTGAAAGGATGATTATAGCTATATTTCTCACTTTGTGGGGAGCATTAAGCAAATGCACAAAGGAAAGGAGAGCTGAGAGATGGAACAAGAGAGAACAAGCCTGGCTTGAACCCCTGAGTTCAGCCCTCACTGAAATCTCTACCAGCATCACCCAGTTACACAAGCCAATGGATTCTTTAATTAACTTGGTACAAGTTGAGTTTCTATTGTGTTCAAGTGAAAGAGTTCTGATATACACTAGTGGTATTAGTTCAGTTGTTAAAATTTACTGGAAGGACTGTTGTGCATAATGGAATATTGCAATTCCCCCCTTAATAGTAGTGCTACTGGTTCCTGTGAAATAGCAGGCATCTGTTGCTCTGCAGTTTGAGCCTGTATGTAAAGGCTAATGTTTTCAGAGTAAGTGACTGATTATAGTGGGATGAAGTTAGTCAGGAAAGGATCTCTGAAGATAAATGAGTGCCTTTGCCTAATCCCAAGGTAATGAAGCTGGATTGGGTAAAAAGTGAAATAGGGTATTTCAGTTTGAGGAAATAACCTGAATAAAAGCACAGAGGAGCAAGTTAGAGACATATATTATGACTCCTTTCAGTTGCAAGTGAATAAATTTATTAGCTCAATATTGAAAATCTCTATGGGTAGTCTGGAATCAGGACTTGTATTTAGACATGATTGTCAAGAATCTCTCTCTCTCTCTCTCTCTGTGTATCTGTGTGTGCGTGTGTGTGTGTGTGTGTGTGTGTGTGTGTGTAGTATAGGGATCAGCCTCCTCTCTGTTATTCTAACAAAATCTTAAGGTTATGCTGTGACTGATGCTCTTAGGTCATGGATCATGGGTCTAATCCTCACTAGACCAGATAGGCCAGGGAAATATGAGGCTCTGACCAGCATTGCCCTGACCACAAGTTCAACCCTGGAGTGGAGGGTGGAGGCAGCACCATCTGACCTAACACACTGATAAGTGGTTGCCCAAAGAAAAGGGAGGGGGGCCTTACTAGAAAAGAAAGATTGGTGATGGGTAGGTAAACATCTAATGTCCATATAAGAGAGTAATGTCTGGCTATATGGCAAGGAGTGAGTGTATTAGACAGCATGGAAAATGAAGTTAGATAAATGAAGAGACCAAGTCCAGAAAATAGTCGAGTAGTTTAATTGTGAGGTATTTGAACAGCAATGCAGATACAAATGGAGTTTACGTATGGAATCTGATTAGCAGTAGATAAATGTCTGTAAGCTTCTCTTGAACAGGGTGATTATGTAACTTGTATTCTAAGCTGGGATACTTTTGAGAGTAAAAGGGAACAATCTTAGTGATTAGACTGAAAGAATGAGCATAAGTTGAGACTTTCCTCCAAAAAACTGGGGCAAATATTACCTTTCTTCTGAGCAAAGTGGTCAGAAAGAGTAGCTTACACACACATTTCATGTGTAGTACCATTTGACCCTGTTATCACAGCCAGAATCAATTCCAAGAATCTGTGACTATGCTTAAGGCAGTCACCCATCACTGAACATAAGAGGGACCAGGTGATTGACAGAAAAATCTTTCCCAGTGTTGAATACTTTATCAGATGGTAATTTTCAAAGCCAGTTGGATCCCTTGAGAAGCTTTAGACACATATACACAGAGCAAAAGTGGTCAGAATAAAGGAGAATTTGAAAGAAACTCACAGGTAATGCAGTGTATTCATTGGTATAGGCTAAAGCTCTGCAAAAGATAGAACAAACTTATGCATCTCAAACAATAGAAGTTTCTTATCTCATTCCTGTGACAGTCCAAAGTGGGTATTCCTGGTCAGTGGGAAGCTCACAGCACAAAGTGATTCTGGGAGCAGGACTCTCCCACTTTGTGGCTCTGCTTTCCCCAAATTGCTCATTACCATTAGTAACAGCCAGCAGGACAGATAAGAGAATGGAAGAACCATAGTGTTTTTTTGAGACTTGGCCAGGAGTTAGTGATTCACATCATTTCCACTCATTTTTTGATTAATAAGAACTGGTCAAAGGAGATACCTAGATGCAAATTGGGGTTGGGGGTGGGATTAGGGGTCCTGGGAAATGTAGTATGGCAGGGACACCGGTACACAAGGGGACTTTTAGAGGCCAACTAGTCATCTTTGTCCCAGGCCATAAGCAGAACCTTCAGCAAACAAAACCCAAGAGGTAGTGAGATGAACAGTGGTGAGTGAGTTAGAAATGGACATTCACTTAACAAGCAGACACAGAAATATTGAGTGAGCCTTCTCAGCCTAACCTTTAAATATTGGTGTTTGAAGAGTCCCCTCCTAGCTTGCTTTCTGCTTAGAGCAGAGTTATTACATGCTTATATGCATTAATCTGGGGAAATTATCAAAGAATTTTGTGACTTGACCAAGCTTAGGAACCACTACTTTAAAGTCCCCAAGCAACACTGTCCACTTTTATGGCTTTGATTACACTTTTCACAGTGATGACTCCAGCATCTGTCTCTCCAGTACAGATTCTCTCTTGAGCTCCAGTCTGGTACACATAGTAATATTGAATAGTACCACTCTGGTATCTCATAAACACAAACAACTCTGTATCCCCACACTGAATTCATCACTCTCTCTCATTATGCCTGCTCCCCTTGTATCTTCCATTACAGTGAACAGCACTACTATTCAGCCAGATGCTCAGAAAGGAAGCTTGGGACTCGCTCCTGAATCCCCTTTCATTCTCCCCGCTCAAATAATTGATCACGACTAGAGCTGAAGTTCTATGGCTGGAATCTACCCGTGTGTCTCCAGGCCGACTGCAAGTATCATAACCCAGCCTTTCTCACCTAGGTTTTCACTGGAGCCTCGTAACTACTTCTGTTGCTGTTTATTCTTCACATTTTAGACAATGTGATCACTCTGCAGTAAATACATTACTAAATCACATACCCAGTTTAAAACAGTTTTTTTTCATTATTACTTCCAGAAAAAGTCCTATTCTCCTTAACATAGCCTGTGAGACTCTTCTCAGCCAGCTTCCATTCAGGCAAACAGATTCCACATAAAGTAATCCAAAGGGGCAAACAGTTACAAAGAAGTTAAAAGAAAAGAGCAAACCATAATAAAGAGGCTGGAAGAAATTAAGAGAAACACAAGGGATCCTGAGTCAAACAGAAGTGCACAACAGGAAGAAGGCATTACCCCTCTAGGTTGGTGTGAGAAAAGAGCATGCGATGTTACCAGAACCCAAAGTCAGGGATTACTGGCAGAAGTGGGAACTTGCCTGTTAGGAGGAGGGATTAGGGATGAGGAGAGCCTGGTGGTAGCTGGAATTGTGGAGAAGATGCAGCCTCTGCTGAGAAAGGGAAGCAAAACACCTTGGCTTCTCCTCTCCTGTCCTATAGTCTCAGGTGAGCACCCTCATCTCTGAACATAACTGCAAGCCAGCTGGTGGGGAAACCTGAGTAATGTATGTTGCAGAACACAAGAAGGTTGGGAAATGAATGTGCACAAAGCTTCAAATTCTGCCCCTTGCTTCCCTTTGTAGCCTCAGCCCTGGACACTGCTCCTTCTCTTGCATGCTCTAGACCTCACCTGACAGGCCTCATTTCAGTTCCTTAGTGCACTCTTTCTGGCTTCTCTGTGCTTGTGCACCCTGTAACCCCTAATTAGTGGGTTAGAGAAATCACCCTTTTGTCTTCTCTCACTTGCCTGAGTATCTCCTAACTGTGCTTTGGGTCTCAGCTTGGATATCACTCTTTTGGAAAGTCAGTTTTGGTCCCTGTAACTGGATTAGGTACCCAGGACATGAGCTCTTAATAACCTGTAAATCCCCATCATAGCATTTATTTTAACACTTCAAAGAATAATATAAAAATAGATTAGTCTTCTATTCACTTGTCATAATAAATTCTAGTGCGATCAAGGAAAGAGTTCCCTACCTGCTAGTTACCATCATATGCCCAGTCTCTGGCAATAGGAGGAGTTCACCAAGTATCAACTAACTGAGTAGTGTGGATCAATACATGAAGGCATGTGAGTGGAAACAGCGGTGGTCAAAGAGGAGCAGTGCAAGTCTCTGCTCAAGGGGGATTCTATGAATTACTGTTAGGACTATTCTTAGATTCTGAAAGACAAAAGATATTGTTCAAATTTTCCATGATATCCAAATGTATGATTGCTACTTTGGCTTTAATGCTAACTTATTTACCTCTACTCTTACAAGAATTTCCTGGCTCCTTCACTTAGCCAGCACACATCATACTATATGAAATAGGAGAAGGATAAAGACACAGAAACCAGGAGCCTGGCAAAATGGCTATTATATCAGTCTAAGTGGAGGTTATAGGAGAAGTAAATTAAGTATGAGAAAAGAGAAATCATGGGGATATCATTTAAACCTGAAAATAGTTTAATTTAGATATAATTATGTAAAAAACTAATCATAAAAGGCTACCTGCGAAACTATTAGCAGAATTTATTACAATCGGGTTTGGATATCTCTTTTTTTTAACAATAAAGAAAATACAATGCAAATAATAACTTCTCATTTGGACTTTTGAGAAAACAACAAAAAGGTAGGCAGAAGAAAATGCTAAAACCAAACCATAGGATAAAGAACACAGAGTTACTAAGATATTTTTTAAAATAAAATATATAACTCAAATTACAAATAAGAGTCACTACGGTTTGCTTTTACTTATTATTTCCTTATCTTTGGGTCAACCCTCACTCACAAGTAATTCAATTGGTGTCTCTGTCCTTATCTTTCTTCTCTTATTTTCACATAATATTTTTGCTACCAGAAGCCGAGACAACTATCCTATGAAATATTATTTGACTCTTCATTATGATAACTCTTCATTATGATAATCTATTTTTTACAGTTTATTTCCATTTTAGTTAGCAGATACTTTATTTCTTATTAACATACATTTGTTCTTGCCTGTGATTTTGTATTGCTAATTCCTGCTACACAGATTTAAGGTGAAACATTTTAGGATTTCTAGTATGACTAACTTCGTATGTGAATGTGCTATGCTAGTAATCTTTGCTTCTATGTTGGAGGGGGTTTCAATTACTCCTATCTATGAGCAGACCATCTTCTAGAGTAGTCCATGGAGAATATTCCCTGATATACAATGCACTCTACTGATGGGTGTTTCTTGTCTCCATACTACAGTTATTAACCTGAGCAGCTAGAGATGAAATCTCTAAATCTGTAATAAAACACTGCCTCACTACATCTTTGCCTACTATCTGTTGGTTTAATACAATCTCAACATTAAATAAAGAAGTAAAGTAAAATTGAAGTAGAATTTTCTATAAGCATCATTTGTTAATAAAAGATTATTGAATTAAGTCATAAAAAAGCAACAAAACTTTGGTACAAAATAGTGCTTTTTTATGTTCTTTAACAAATGCTTCTTGAGCAAATTCATCATTAAATCTGACCTTGTGAAAAAGAATATTTGAAATCAATAACAAGTGTGCATTAACATATAAACTGGTGATTTTCTTATTCAAATGTAACATATGCAATTATTGTGCTTGTAAAACACTTGAACCATTTGAAACTGACTTTATGAAAAATAAACTAGGTCTTCAAACAAGAGAAAGTAACTTCAGAAATAAAGGTTAAGGTCAGCTGGCATGATTTCCCAGGAAAGAATTATTATATCTCTGTTACCTTTTCACCCAATTGCCCACACTGTTGCCCACAAAGCAATTGTGTAGCCCAGAAAACCAATAACAAATAAAATATAACCACAAGAGTTCATAGCTAGAGTTCCCAGTTGAAGAAAAGTTCTATTAAAGAAGCTGATTTTATGATGCTCTGTGAGTGAGAGAACATACATTTTCCAAATACATACATGGCAGTGCTGCCTGAAAATTCTGGCTGGATGGAACCGAGAGACAGTTTTATTTAATAGAGATAAATAAACTTACCTCACTGAGTTGCTGTGAGAATAAAATAAAATATAAACAATACCTGTTATGGGTTAAATTTTGTTCCCCCAAAATGTGATCTTACTTGGAAATAAGATTGTTGCAGATGTAATTAGTTAAGATGAAGTTATACGGGAGTAAGTAGATCTCCTAATCCGGTATGCCTGGGGTGTCCTCACAAAAAGGCAGATAAAGGCAGAGAGTGTCTTCATCTTCTAGCAGCCAAGGAACACAAAAGATTGCCAGGAAACTGTCAAAAGCTAAGTGGCAAACATGGAACAAATCCTTCCTCACAGCCCTAAAAAGGAACCAATGCTATACCACCTTGATTTTGGACTTCTAACATTCAGAACTGTGAGACAAGACATTTCTGTGGTTTAAGCCCCCCAGTTTGTGGTACTTTGTTATGGCAACCTGAAAAACTAATACAGTCCCTGAGTGATAGCACACTGTGGGAATTAAACTCATGCTAGTGGGTCAGTGAGATCGTCATGTGAACACATTTGTATTAAAAAAGGGATGCAGTAGCATATCAAGTGCTGTAGTCAAAGTTTCATAGGAGTTTTGAGGGCTAGAATTGCAAATCTCTATTCTAGTTTTTCAGAAGCTAAAGGAGAACAAAACAGGAATCTGAGCTCCAAGGAACTGGGGTATTTGGCAGGACCCTAGCAAAGGACTCATAGGGATTCAATTGTTCATTCAATTGACAAGAAAGACCTTTGGTCACAAAGAATAAAACAATTTAGGTCAAATCAGGCATTTAACATTTATTGAGTATCTATACATTCAAGCATGAGATATAGAGGGCAAAATAGTAAGTACTCATGCATTTTGTGGTCAAGAGCTAAGAGTTTTGGTGGGAGAAAGTCATTTAAAAAAATCTATCAGGGGATATGAAGTAGAAATGACTGGTAATAAGTAAAACAATTCCAGATATACTGGGGATTAAGATGAGGCATAAAACTGTATATATGCATTGTTTATCATTGTCAGCATAAAGTTGTGCTTAGCCACTAAAGTACTTTCTGGGCTCCTTACAGAGCAACTTTGTTGTTTGGGCTAAATAGCGAAATTGTACATAAATGAGATCAATGAGTAAGTCATTACAATATTACTTCTCCAGGGTTTTCTATGCGCCTGACATTTAAGGCACAAGTGTTTTGGGTGGATCATTTATTTGTTTCTGCCAAATACCTGCATCTTTATTGTAAGTGCAAAAATTATTTATGCAGGCCTAAAGTTTATATATTTTTGCTTGCTAGTGACCTTTCTTAAAAATTCTACAGAGAAAGAGTCTCCTCTAGGCTGTATTCAAAAATCCTCTTCCCTAAAGTCATGTTAACAAGATAGTGAAATAGAAGACACCCCAGCACCAGTTCCCCAACAAAAGTACAACTAGAAACTATTCAAAGACAAGAATACCTCCCCAAATTCACCAGAACTTGGGGAAGAAGCATGTAAATTCCACGGACCCACAGAATCAAGAGAAGATGCAACAAGAAACGGTTATTTTAGACTACCACCCTCTCCCCTAGTGAGTATAAAGGTACACACATAGAATTTCATAGATCTAAGTTTTCCAAGGTGGGAGGAGGGAATCGTATGTAGATGTTTCACCTACCCACTAGTCTGAGAATCTTCATGGGAAGTCAACTGCTGTCCCATTTTATGGGAATTCTTGGGAATGCCAGGAAGACCGATCACCTGGGGTGAATCAGGAACACTGCAGTGACAGGTGCACAGTTCTTGGTGGCTGCTAACTTTATGTTCCAATCAGTAGGGTTACCAGGCTAAGGAGACTGCCTGGTGATATAGCAATTCAAGGGACAGGATCTGCAGAAAGGCCTGAATCCCTGGCTGTAGTTCCAACAAAGCCCTGGTGCTCCCACAGAGCCCTTTCCTGACTCAGAAACAACTAAAAGGCAGCTACTCAGTTCCAGTGCTTGCTTAAGTCTTCCCCAGACTGGGAAACACCAGCAGAGTAGTGATATAGCTCCAGTACAGCATTTAAGTTCCTATGCTCACTACAAGTCTTTCTCAGGCTGAGAAACAATTGCAGAGCAGTGATTTAGTTTCAGTGAAGTGTTTTTCATTTTGGTGCTCACAATAAGTCCTCCTCAGAATGAGAATCAATAGCAAGTCAATAATTAAGTTTCAATATTAAATAGTAAAGGTCTAACACCACCAAATAACAGCACATAAAATATCTGGAAGAGGTGGCCTTCTCCTAACATGTTCAGGCATCAGAATAAAAATGCAAGAACTGTAAAAACTCAGAGAAATATGACATCACCAAAAGAAATACACACAGCTCCAGTAATGGATCCAGGATAACCAAAGATCTATAAAATGCTTGAAAAATAATTCATAATAATTCTCCTAAAGAAGTACAAGTAATCAAAAGAAAATACACATATAAGTAAATCACATTTGGAAAATAATCTAGGAACAAAATGAAACAATGGACAAAGAAATAGAAACAAAAAAGTAGAAAATCTAGGAATAAACAATACAATAACCAAACTGAAAAAAAACTTGTTAGAAAACTTCAAAGCATAATCAAACAGAGCAAAGAAACAGAAAGCTCAAAGATGAACTATATTAAATTACCCAATCAGAGTAGCAGAAAGGAGAACAAAAAAGAGAAAAGAAAACCTGATACCATCAAGCAAACTAACGTTCATATAATAAAAGTTCCCAAAAAACACAAAAGAGAAAAAATGCCCAGAATACATATTTAAGAAAATGATGGCTGAAAATGTCCCAAATCTGGAGAAAGGTGACAGCATTCAGATATAGGACACTTAGAGGTAAGCAGTGAAATTCAGCCCATAGAAGAATTCACCAAGATACATCATAATTAAAGTATCAACACTAAAAGACAAAGACAAAATACATAAACCTTCAAGAATAAAGAAACATATCACATTCAGTGAAGGCCCAGTACAGTTTTTAGCATATTTCTCAGCAGAAACTCTGCAGGCTAAGTGGGAGTAGAATGATTTATTCAAGGCTGACAAAAACATACAATGGGGAAAGGACACCCCAGTCAACAAATGGTGCTGGAAAAATTGAAATACTATATGTAGAAGAATGAAACTGAACCTCTATATTTCACTATATACCAAAATAAACTACATATGGATTAAAGATCTAAGTGGAAGACCTGCCATTATAAAAATACCAGCAAAAAGAAACCAGGAAAAACTCTTTTGCACATTGGTCTAGGCAAAGAATTCATGACTAAGACCTCAAAAGCAAATGCAACTAAAACAAAAATGCTCATAGGACTTAATTAAACTAAAAAAGCTTTTGCACAGCAACAGAAATAATTAAGAGTGTACAGACATCCTGTAGAATGAAACAAAATATTTGCAAACTATGTATCTAACAAATGGCTACTATGCAAAGTCTACAAGGAAGGCAAACAACTAAACAACAGCAGCAAAAATAAAAGCAATTCACCGCATTAAAAAGTGGACAAAGGACATGAACAAATATTTTTCAAAAGAAAGCATACAAATAGCCAGGAAGCATATGAAAAAGTGTTCAACATTACTAAGCATCAAAGGAATGCAAATTAAAACCACAATATGATACCGTTTTATACCAGTCAGTATGGCTATTATTAAAAATCATAAAATAACAGGTATTGTTGAGGATATGAAGAAATGTAACATGTTTACACTGTTGGTGGGATGTAAATTAGTTAAACTTCCATGGAAAAAAGTATGGAGATTTCTCAGAGAACTAAAAATAGATTTCCCATTCAATCCAGCAATCCCACTACTGGGTATATACCCAAAGGAAAAAAACGAATTATTCTTTCAAGAAGATACCTGCACTGGTATGCTTATTGTAACACTCTTCACAATAGCAAAGATATGGAATCAACCTAAGTGCCAATCAAGAGATGAGTGGATAAGGAAATGTGGTGTATATATACCATGGAATACTATTTAACCATAAAAATGAATGAAATCATGTCTTTTAAAGCAACATGTATGGAAACGGAGGCTATTATCTTAAGTACATAACTCAGAAACAGAAAGTTAATTACCACATGTTATTATTTGCAAGTGGAAGCTAAATAATGTGTACTCATGGACATATAGAGTGGATTAATAGACATTGGAGACTTGGAAGGGTGAGAGGATGGGAGGAGGTTGGGTGATGAGAAATGAATGAGGACAATGTGCACTCTTTTTGTAATAACTACACTAAAAACTCAGACTTCACCACTATACATCTATGTAACAAAGCAGCACTTGTACCCCATAAATATATTTTTTAAAAATTAAGTGCTGATGGAAAAAAAACAAAAACAAAACATCTATGTAAGCTGATAATACTGTAACCAGCAAATCTATCCTTTGAACATAAAGGAGAAATGAAGATTATTCCAGACAAATAAAAGCTGAAGGAATTCATCAACACCAGACATGTCTTACAACAAATGCTAAAAGGAGTTTTTCAATCTGAAAGAAAATGATGTAACATATAGCAAAAAATGTAAAAGAAAAAAGAGAAAGGAACATATAAAAATCACAAGTGAAAGTAAGAATACAGGCAAATTTAGAACATTTAAGTACTGTGATTGTTTTATGAAAATTACTTAGATCTTAACCATGAAGACTAAAAGACAACTTATTATTGAAGACAATAATAAGTACAAGGGTTTAAGAGGCAATATAAAATGATGTAAACTGAAACATCAAAAGGCCATATTTTGGGAAGGGAATGGTGTTAAAGTGTAGAGTTTGTTTTTATTACATTTATTATCTTTGCAGTCAAAGCTAAGTGGTTATCAATTAAAAATAATTTATTACAACTATTATTTGTTTTTTAAAAGCTTCATGGTAACCATAAGCAAAAAAAGTAATAAATACACTAAAAATGAATAGCAGCGAATCAAAACATACTACTAGAGAAAATCAATCACAAAAGAAGACAATAAGAGATAAATAAAAGAAGGATTTACAAAACAACCAAAAACAATAATAAAATGGCTGTAGTAAACCCTTATCTATTAATATTAACCTTGAATGTAAATGGATTAAATTATCCAATTAAAAGACAGAGTAGCTGAATGGATGAAAAAACAAGATCCAGATACGTGCTATCTATTAGAAACTTATTTGTCCTATAAAGAAACACACAGACTGAAAGTAAGGGAATGGAAAAACATATTCCAATCAAATTAAAGCCAAAAAATAGCACGAGTAGCTATACTTATATCAGATAGAATAGACGTTTGGTCAAGAATGGTTTAAAAATATTGATAAAAGAGTTAATAAAACAAGAAGATAGAACAATTATAAATATATGCACCTAACACAGGAGCACCTAATGTGTAATATTAACAGATCTAAAGGGAGATGTTGACTGTAATACTATATAGTGGGGGACCTCAACACCCTATTTTCAACAATGGACAGATCATCCAGGTAGAAAATCAACAAAGAATCATCAAACTCAACCTGTACGCCAGACAAAATGGGCCTAATAGGCATTTACAGAAAAATCCATCCAACAACTACAGAATACGTATTTTTCTCGATAGTACATGGAACAGTCTCCAGGATACACCATCTGTCAGGTCACAAAACAAGTCTTAACAATTTTTTAAAAATTCAAAACATATTAAGGAGCTTTTAAAAACACAATGGAATAAAACTGTAAATAAAAATACAAATCAGTAACAGAAGGAGCATTGGAAAGAAATTTACGAAAATTAAACAAGATGCTCCTGAACAACAAATGGATCCATGAAAAAACTGAAAAAAAAAAGTTTATTGAGATAAATGAAAGTGGAGACACACCATTTCAAAACCTCTGGGATACAGAAAAACCATTATAAAAGGGAAGTTTTACTAATAAATGAATACCACAAAAAGTAAAAAGATCTTATATGAATAATCTAATGTTATACCTTAAAGAACTAGAAAAATAAGAACAAAGTAAATCCCATATTAGTAGAAGGAAAAAAATAAAGATCAGGCAGAAATTTTTAAAAAATGGAAATTAAGAATACAAAAGATCAATAAAATAAAGAGCTTTTTTTTGGAAAGAAAAAAATCAACAAGCAAATAATCTGATTTATAAATGAACAAAAGCCCCGAAGATACATTTCTCAAAAGAAAATATATAAATGGCCAGTAGTTATGTGACAAAACCTTTAGCTAGACTAAGAAAAAAAGAGAGAAGATTCAAATAAATAAAATCAGAGATGAAAAGGAGATACTACAACTGATACAACTGAAATACAAAATATCATAAATGACTATTATAAACAATATACACCAAAAAACTGAAAATATAGAAGTAATGAATAAATTCCTGCGCACATAAAACCTACCAAAGTGAATCATGAAGAAATAGAAAATGTGAGCAGACCAATAATAAGTAACGAGATTAAAGCACAATAAAGGCTCTCTCATCAAAGAAAAGTCCAGGACCTGATGGCTTCACTGCTGAATTCTACTAAACATTTATACAAGAACAAATATCAATTCTTCCCAGACTCTTCAAAAATGCTGATGAGGAGATAATACATCAAAAATCATTTTACGAGGCCAGCATTGCCCCTGATACCAAAAACAGAAAAGGACACACACGAAAGAAAACTACAGGCAAGCATTCCTGATAAACATGGATGCAAAAATCTTAAAAAAATAGTAGCATACTGAATTCAACAACCTATTAAAAAGATAATTCACCATAATCATTTGGGATTCATCTGAGGGATGCAAGGATGGTTTAATATACACAAATCTATAAATATAATACATTAACAGAATCAAGGACAAAAACCATATGATCATTTAAATAGATGGAGAAAAAGCATTTGATAAAATTCAGTATGTCTTTAATGTCTTTATGATAAAAGCTCTTAACAAATTAGGTGTATAAGAAATATATCTTACCATAATCAACACCATGTATGACAAAATGACAGCTAACATCATACTGAATAGGAAAAATTTTAATGGTTTTTCTCCCAAGAATGGAACAAGACGAGGATTTTCACTTTTACTACATTCAGCATGCTACTGGAAATTCTTACTGGAGCAATTAGTCAAGAGAAAGAAATATTGAGAAAAATAAGTCTAACTGTTCCAGTTTGCAGACAAAATGATCACACATATAGGAAATCCCAAAGACTTCTTTAGAACTAATCAATAAATTCAGTAAAGTTGCAGGATACAAAATCAATATATAAAAATCAGTAGCATCTTTAAATGCCAATAATAAACTATCTAAAGAGAAAAATCAAGAAAGCAAACCCATTTATAATAGCTACAGAAAACCTGGGAATGAATTTTGCCAAGGACGTTAAATATTTCTACAACGGAAAATATAAAACACTGATGACAGAAATTGAAGAAGACATAAAAAATGGAACGATAGTCCATGTTCATGAATTGGAAGAAATAATATCATTAAAATGTCCATACTAACTAAAGTGATCTGTATAATCAATGAAATCCCCATCAAAATACCAATGACATTCTTCACATAAATAGAAAAAAAAAAAGTTTGTATGAAACCACAAAAGACTCGGAGTAGCTAAAGTAAGTTGGAGGAAAAACAAAAACTGGAAATATCCCACAACCTGACTTCTAAATATACTATAAAGCTATAGTAACCAAAATAACATTCTACTGGCATAAAAACAGATAAATTGACCAATGGAGCACAATAAACTCAGAAATAAACCCACACATTTACAGCCAACTGATTTTCAACAAAAGTGCCAAGAACATATAATGTGGAAAAGATAATTCCTTCAATAAATGATGCTAGGACAACTGATTATCCACATGCAGAAGAAAGAAACTGAACCTTACCTCACCCTACACACACATCAACTCAAAATGAATTAAAGAGTTAAATGTAACACCTGAAACTATAAAATTACTGGGAAAAACAAAACACAGAAAAAGTGCTTCATGACATTGGTCTGGAAATATATTTTTTAAATAGAACTTTAACAGCACCAGCAACAAAAGCAAAACTTAACAAATGAAATTACATATTTGTAAAACCTTCTGCACAGCAAAGGAAACAATTGAAGAGCAAAGAGACAAACTACGAAATGGTAAAAAAAAATATGCAAACTCTCCATCTGACAAGAGGGTTAATATCCAGAATAGATAACAAACTCAACAACTCAATAGCAAAAAAGCAAATAATCTGATTCATAAATGAACAAAAGCCCCAAAGATACATTTCTCAAAAGAAAATATACAAATGGCCAGCAGTTATGTGACAAAATGCTCAACATCACAAATCATCAGGGAAATGCAGATCAAAACCACAATGAGATACCATCTCACCCCAGTTAGAATGACTATTAGAAAAAATACAAAAATAGCAAATGCTGGCCAAGAATGTGGAGAAAAGGCAACTCATACAGTTCTGGTGCAAATGTATTTTAGTACAGTAATTATGAAAAATAGTATAGAGAGTCCTCAAAAAATTAAAAATAGAACTACCATGTGACTCAGCAATTTCACTGAGTATATATTCAAAGAAATTGAAATCAGTATGTTGAAGAGATATCTGCATCCTCATGTGTATTACAGCATTATTCATAATAGCCAAGAGATGGAATTAACCTGTGTTCATCAACAAATGAGCAAATAACAAAATTGTAGTATGTATACACAATGGAATATTATGCAGCTATAAAAAGGAATGAAATTCTGTCATTTGTGTCAAAACAGATAAACCTGAAGGGCATATTAAGTAAAATAAGCCAGGCACAGAAAGATAAATACTGCATGATGTGACTTACAGGTGGAATCTAGGAAAGGTGATCTCATAGAAGAAGAGAGTAAAATTGTGGCTATTAGAGGCTGGGAAAAGGAGAGGAAGGGCAAGATGAGGAAGGGTCAGTCAAAGGTTATAAGGTTACAGTTAGGAAGAATAAGTTTTGATGTTCTATTGCATAGTAGGGTGACTATAGCTAATAACAATGTGTTGTATATTTCAAGATAGCCAGAAAAGAGGATCTTGAAAGGTGTCACCACAAAGAAATAATAAAGCTTTGAGGCAATGAACATGTTAACTATTGTGACTTAATTATTATACAAGGTGCACACGCATTGAAACATCGCACTGTACTCCATAAAAAGGTGCAATGATTATGTGTCAATTATGAATACACAAACAAAATATTCTTCCTGTGGCCCTCACCACAGAGATTAACTGTTTTTCATTCATAGCTATGTAATTGAATTTGTCATATTATATTGTGGTTAGTTGTTTCTCATTCATTGTTTTTAAGTAGTGTGCATGCTGAATGGAACCATTTTACTTTTGCACTCCTAAATATATTTCTTTAGGAGCCAAACATATGATCTGCGTGGAGCACCCACACCGTGAAGTGCATCCTTCTGTTGTTAGGAAAGCAACAACAGAATAAGACAAAATCAAAGTAGCAGAGTGTGTTATCAGGGGCATATAGTGGCAACCACTAAGCAGCTGGGCAGAGAGTCAGTTAATTCTTGGAAAGGGCCAGCAGTTGGTTGGAGGTGGGCACGCAAGTTGACAGAGCATAACCATGTGGTTTTGCAGCCTACACAATTGTGAGGTTCTGTACACAGGTGGAGGTGGGGTGGTGGGCTTGGCAACAGGTCTTGAGGCTGGAGGCTCAGGGACAGTACTCTGGTTCTGGGCTGTGTGATGAAAACCTAAAATGTGCTGCAGGTGGTGGCTAAATAACTCCAGCTGTGGGGATTGGCAGAGGCAAGAAAACAGGCAGATGATTACATGGACTGGGAAACAGAAGCAAAGATTCAGAGATCTAGGTGAGGGATCAGGAAAAAAATTGTGCAGAATACAGTTCCGATTCTCCCTAGTGGGCAGGATTTAGGCAAGAGCTGTGGCAACAAATCAGGGACAATGAGCAACAAGGCAATGTGATTGCAGGGGTAACAATAATATAGACTTTTGGAGGCAAAAGAGCCTAGTGTTCCTCCTGCCCTCTTGCCAAGGACTAAAAATGGCTGCAAGCAGAGTGGACGCCAACAAAAACACCTGGTTAGAATGAAGTATGATGTTGCCAATCAAGATAGCTTATAACAAAACATATACAATTCAGAAAGATTTAACATATAGTTTGCAAGTTGAATTTTAGCAATGGAATTTTGATAATTTTCTGAAAAGTTTTTGATTCATGGCATAGCCAGATTAATATAATTGATTCATGTATGCCAGGGCATTACTACCTCTTCAAATAAAAGTTAACACATCTCATTTACATTTTATAGGGAAAAATAGATGATGGCACAGGGAAAGCAAGTGTCATTTTTAACTGTTTCAAGGAGGTCATTGTCTTTTAAGGCTAAACTCAGCCACTGAAACTTTATAGTCAAACATTAAAATAACTAGGGAAATATAGGTACTAGGCAAAGATCCTAGCAGCTATTACTGGAAACAGGAGAGGGAAGAAAATCCTTCTGAGTCTAAAGTAAGATGAAATCATGGATATAGATTTAGGACTACCCTTGAGTCATCAGGAAAAACAGACAATCTCTATATACACAAATGCTTGATTAAAAAGAAAGATGGAAACCACTTTATTTTTTAAATAAATTGGCCCAAATATTTGTTTAGTTTAAGGCGGTGGTTTGCAAAGTATGTTCCAGGAACCAGCAGCACCAACACTCTGCAAAAGATTGTCAGAAATGCAAATTATTCACGTCTACTCCAGACCTATTAAATCAGAAACTCTTAGTATGGAGCCAGCAATCTGTGTTTTAAACAGTCTTCCAGGTAGGGTTGTCACATTTAGCAAATAAAGGTACAGGACTCACAATTAAATTTAAATTTCAGATAAACAACAAATAATTCTAAATATAAGCATATTCCATGCAATAGTTAAATCATATTTATAGAAAAGAAGTCAGTCTGAAATTCCAACTCAATAGGGACACATCCTGTATATTATCTCATAACTGTCTCCAGATGACTCTGATACAAGTTAAAATTTGAGAACCACTCTTTTAGTGTAAAAATAACATTTTTTAAAAAAGAAAAACCATTTCCTATGCCATACAGAAGTCCCAAGCTGTCTGGTAACATATTAAATTCAATCCCAAAATATTTTTGTTTGGCCAAATAGATTTGCTTTGTCCTTTATGTTTTGATGTTTGAATTAATTGCAAGATATAAAATATAAAATTTTATGTAAAATCAGGGTCTGGACCATATTTTATTATGGACAACAATTAAGACTATCAGCAAGTGGCCTCCTGTGTTCCACAGTCCCTTCCACTCTTTATTGTGTCTCTACTGTGAGTCTAGATGTTGTCTATCATTTATATTTGTAGTTGTATGGTTTTCATGGTCCCAGGTCGCAATTGCATTACTTGCTTGGGTCCCCTTAGACATGTAAGTTTGTAAACTCTTCTTTAAAATTTTCCCTCCACATATGGACCTTTTGGAAAATAAAAAAACTCAAAGATCTCATATAAGAAACAGGGATATTATGTCATGAGATACATATCCCAGGAAATGAGTCAATAGAATTAGGAATCAGGGTTGAGGTAGACTTCAGTCTGGAACCATGAAGCTTAATTTACACAAAGGCTAATTTAAGGAAAAAATTATTTTGTTTATTTTGTTTCATTTAAATTAAAAATAGTTTTACTCCTTCTCTTGGTAAAAATGCATATTTCAAATTTTATGATATGTTTTAGTGAGGAAAATAATATCAACATAAAAACTGACAGTGTTTTTAGGGACTAAAGTGTTAGCATTGGAGAATATTAGGAAGCAAAAGCACAGAGGTTGATTTATAAACGATGCTGGAACCAAATTCTGGGCCATAACTTTAATCTAGACCATGTCTATGCAACCAAAGAATTGTGAATTGCTAATCATTTCTCTGTATCAGTTTGAACTCACTTGTGGATGTCTAGAATCAAATGACTAACATCTTGGAATTTGGTTCCTGGCACACCTCAAAAACATTGTGGCTACTGAAGCAACACAATTTAGATATTTCTTGATTTATTTTAAGCAATTGAATAAATACTGGAGAAAATCTACCTAATTTATACTTAATCCAACTTTTTGACTTCATGACTTGAATTCTTCAAAGTCACTTTCAATTCAAACTTTTGCAGCAATGTCCCTTTTACTATCTCAAGAACTTTCTCAGAATAAATCTTTCCCTCTCCAAGCAAGCCTTGGAGAACATGTGCAATGCTTTTGTGACATATGGGCCTGTCTACAGTAATTAATTCCTAGTTTGTCTGACCTAATTGCTCCATGTTGGCAATTCTTGTTATTTTATTAAAGGCAAAATTGTTAAGTATGGGCAGAATATGCCAAAATCATGATTTTTTTTTCTGAAAGTGCATACATTTTATGATTCTTCCGTTATTAATTATTAAATTTTCTGAGTTTACTAAATATTTCCTAGACTGTGATCTCAAACTCTATTGCATGTTCCAATTTAATTTATCTTTTTAATTATATTGATGATTAGTTATGTTCCAAATCTATTGTGTAGGTGGAAATTAGATTCAAAGTTCTCTTCCCATGCTGTGAAATTTTCCATTTTGTTTCTCCTATTAGGTAAAGTAGAAAATCCCTGGGCTATCTCTTTTTTGTAAGGTAGGTCAGTGTTCCTTTTTGCTGGGTTAATGGGGAAGAGTGTTTTGTCCACCTTAAATACCTTCACTTCAGATTGGCATTTGCATCTCAGTTCCATCTGGCTTTTTTCTTTTCTAACCTGCATCTTTATTTAGTTGAAACTCTAGATTAGTGGCTTACAGTAAAACTGGTTTGAGATACAGTCAATAATTCAGGAACTGACAAAGCTTGATAGTTGTCTCTTTGTCCCACTTTGCAACAGAGAAAGATTCCTCAGAGGATGAATTTTATTTATTACTCTCTAGACTTGCAAGATATTTTTAAAGCAATTCCCTACATCTCATCTAGTGTGTTACAGGATGCCCTACTTCTACATGCCTAAATCTAATGCTATCCCTTATGCATCAAAATGTACTGGGCATATTTAAATAGTAAAATAGCTATGTTATAAATTCACACTGTTCTCAGTTCTGAATTCTAATATGTTAAAGCATTTAAAAAGTCATATGGAATTTGTATAGTCTTCACAAGAAGTTTTCACCTACAACAGTTAGTTTCTCTAGACAGGACCTCTCAATTTACAAAAAAAGAGTGAGCTCAGAAGACGAAGCATAGCAATCTCTCTTTTTCTCCACCTCCCCCACCTCCAGCCCCATAAAACTAGAAGAGAAAAATATTTTTGAAACATTTCACTTGAATGTTAATATTCTATAAATAGGTGCTAGGTGAATTTCACACTCATTAAAAGCAATGAGTTCTCATGCTTTAGAGAAAATACTGACACATTCTAGAAGAAGTAGTCCAGCCTCAGCTTTCACTGTCAGATTGAATTTCCCAGCAAGACAACAGATTTGAAAAACAGATGTTGATAAGGGTTGGGGGATAAAGAATTCTAAATACCTTTGGCCTAGAAGATTTGATTGTAATTCTATTTTCTTAAGTATAAGGGAAATGCACTTCTATGTAGGGTATAATGTTACTGCCATAGGGGTTGGAAAACAGGAGTTACAGCAAGAGAAAGCCCAAAAGCCTGCAGCCAGCATTTCTGATACTGAAATACTGTGAGGGGGTCCTCAGAAAATGAGAGAGAAAGGGAAAATAAGTATGTCAGGTACTAGCATACTTGCCCTAGCACCTCCACCTTACACTTTTATCCTAACCTATGAGAATAGGAAAAAGGGGCTTAAGAAACATCCAGAGAACTCAAAATTTAGGATATTTTACCCCAAAATATACTTTGCCATATTTTGAGATGGCTATTCAGAAGTCCTGTAGACAGTAACCCGTAACAGCCCTTCTACCCCTCCCATAAACTACCTTGCCATGTTCCAAGCCCCTATTATTTTGGTAACATGAATATGGGATAAAAATGTCAACCATCTGGCCCTTTTTTTGAGTTTTTATATGTTTTATAATGCCCATGCACTTGTGTGCATGTAAATAAATTTTTGTATGCCTTTTCTCCTATTAATCTGCCTTTTTGGTTGATTTTCAGAAAATATTCAGAGGGTAAAGGGAACCTATACATACTCTTAGTAGTGGAAGCCCTGCCTAAGGCCACTGCCACACTGTGATGGGTGATTGTGCAGTCCAAAATGCATAAGGGATATTGAGAGATGAGAATGAAGCAGTGAGATAGTGATATGGTTTGGCTGTGTCCCAACCCAAATCTCATCTTGAATTGTAGCTCCCATAATCCCCATGTATCATGGGAGGGACCCAGTGGGAGGTAATTGAGTCATAAGGGCAGGTTTTTCCCATGTTGTTCTCATGATAGTGAATAAGTCTCACAATATCTGACGGTTTTATAAAGGGCAGTTCCCCTCCACACACTCTCTTGCCTGCTGCCATGCAAGACGTGCCTTTGCTCCTTCTTCATCTTCTGCCATAATTGTGAGGCCTCCCCAACCATGTGGAAATGTGAATCCATTAAACCTCTTTTGTTAATAAATTACCCAGTCTGGGGTATATCTTTACAGCAGTGTGAAAACAGACTAGTACAGGTAGTTACCCAGGTGAGGAGATTTTTATATATAAGGTAAATGTCGAGATCAAGAGATCCACCTTAATATCTAGGACTTTGGGAGATTATCTCAAATACATCCCTGGTACTAGCTTTTGAGGCTCATTCATACTGAAGTGAATATAACACAAATTAAGCTGAAGTGGCATCAGAGTTCAGTTCTTCAGTCCATTTATTTTCCTTGTAATGACAATAGGTTTCAAAACATCCCATTTATCATTTGAAGAATATTTCTAGCAGCATCATTTATAATAGTCCAAAATTGGAAAAAAAAATTGACCATCAAAGGTAAAATTAAGTTTGATATAATAATACAATGCAATTACAATAAAATGAACTTTTAAAATGTATTGGACATATAGGTGCAATGGGATACAATCCAGTAAACATGAAGAAATAAACTAGATCTATGTATGAAAACATGGATGAATTTTGCAAATATAATATTAAGTACAAGAAGCAAGACACAAATGTTTACTTGAAAATATGATTGTATTTGTATAAATTTAAAGACAGGAAAAATGAAACTAAATTATATCATTTAGGGATGCATATTTCAGTAATAAAGCTATGTAGGAAAACAATAAATTAACTGCCACCATTGTCAGAATAGTGGTTGCCTCTGCGGGTTGGAGGAGAAAGGTGCTTTATACAGGTTCACAGGGGCTTTAAGTGTGCTGGAAATGCTCTGTTTTTTTTTTAATCTGAGTTGTGGGTACATTGTTCTTTCTTTTATAATCCTTCAAACTATTCATGTTTTATATACATTTTTTAGAAATCGTTATAGTTGGCAATTTTAAGAAAAGTTTTAAAATCTAGGAAGTTTTTTAGAGGTCTTTGTAGCAAAGGACTGTAGAGTGTGCTGACTACCTGGGCTTGCTCCTTATGGTTCCAAAACCTTAGCAAACTTCCCAGCACCAGGAAGAGCTATATGAGGCCATGTCAACCAGAGAGGATTCGCAAGCTCTGTCAAGATAAGGGGAGCAAAAGAACAGACCATGAGTTGTACCAGCTTCAGTCTTCAGAAAGAGATGTCCACCCTATTTCCTCTGGACAGGAGTGCAGGAGGAGCCCAGATCATCCACTCCTCAATGGAATTCAAAGATTATTCAGAACACACTATATTTATATGGAGTCATGAGTTCCTTTCATTGCATATCACTCTCCAACACACTTGGATACTATTTTGAAAAGAAGCAGGGGTAGAAATCTGAGCATTTTTCTTTAAAGAGACTAACCATTTATGTAACAGGACTGTTTAAATTGTTGCATCCACAATATTTACCAAACTGAATGAAAATTTAGATTTTTTTCCACCATACTGAAAAGTGTGGGATTGTAAGGAAATTTATAGCAGTAACACACAAAATAAACTACATTACTTTTGGACATTTGAATGTAGTTGAGTAAATCTTTGAACCTAACAATAAATACATGTGCATATGTGAAAAATGGGAAGAAAAGAGGCCGTCTGTATTGTTTCTAAGCATTCAATGAAGCTTCACTGGAACAAAGTTGAAGTCCAGCTTACCCACTAATTAATTGCTTTTGCAGATATGCAATTATCTCAACCACTTTGAGTATTAAGATTATACAGCTCCTAAATTTAGTGGGGCTGAAAGGAGGTTTCTCTTTGTTTCTTTTAGCTGTGATTTACATGCAAAACTATACTGTTTATAATTAACACTTTGCAAAGAGAATATCAAAATATGAGTAGGAACATTCACAGTTAATTGAAGTATTGATATCCTTAATAACATCAAAGAAATTATAAAATAAAATAAGAAAGTAACTGAATACACTGGTGAGTCTTTCAGGGAAAAAATGCTTTAATAGTTTCTATAGGTAACTCTATTCCTTATATTACATTCTGCTTCTTATTCTGTTAGACTCAAATAATAATAATCTTTCTAAAACACACAAAGTAGCTGTCACATAATGAGGTCAGCTGTGAGTTTGCTCATTTCAGAACTCTTCTAAAATAAGAAATCCACTTAAAATAGCTTTATACTTTCCAAAGCATATAATATTTCAACAATATTTGAAAGAACTCAATGAATGAACAAATAATATTAAATCTTGAACATTTTTGAATTTATAGTTCAGAGTAATATAGTAAATATTTCAAGAATTATTTTTTAAATCCAAATTTTAATGATGTTTTCATTATAATTTTCTACTCATTTGGCTTAATTTCCCTGCAAGCCTGAGAGGAACTGATTCTGAGATGCTGTATTCATAATCCCACACATTCTTAAATCATTCTTTAATGATATAAGGAGACATGTATTTGTTCACATTTCTCCAGACAAAGAAAATGGAAATAAGGATTGCCATATCAGGGTGGAGGATTATAATAAGCCATTTTCCAAAAATTTTTCCATTTGGGTAAGGGCTTTAAATTGTATATTTTATCAATGCTATTAACATATTGTCTTAATATTTTACAGAGTCTTTTTAAATGTTAACTTACTGTGAGTCTTATAACCACTCTATGACATATGCAGGACAGAAATTCTCATCATCTCCTTGCCCCCACTGCATCCTATTTTGAAAAAGAAAAGCCCGAAATTTAGAAAAAGTAAGTGGTTTTTTAAAGTCTGTTTTGCCTGACGTCAATACAGTCACTCTAGCTTTCTTATGATTTCTGTTTGCACGGTATCTTTTTTCATCATTTCACCAATTTGTATCATTGAATATCAAGTGCATCTCCTGCAGATAGATCTTATTTTTTGTACAGTCTAACAATCTCTCCCTTTTTTGGATTTATTAGTCAATTCATATTTAATTTTATTATTATTACTATTTTATTTGATATGAGGTAGAACTTTATTATTATAATTCTTCCAATGGGCAATTCTTTGCTTCACAGTTTTTACAATTTATTAACATCTTGGACTTCATTCAAAAAGATATTTAACAGCTTTGTGGCTATTTACTTAATAAGCTGTACATATATAAAATGTTCAACTTGACACTTTTTGACATATGTACACATTAATGAAAGCATCAACACAATCATGACAAAGTGCAAGTTTCCTCATTCTCCCTTGAAATCTTTCTTTTCTGACCCTCCATATTCCTTCCCCATCCTCAGTCAACCACCAATTTGTTTTCTGTTACTACAGATTAGCTGGTATTTATTAAAATTTTATATAAGTGGGAACCTACATTATGTTCTCTTTTTTGTTGTCTGGCTATTTTCATTCAGTATAGCAAGAGACCCATCCATGTTGCTGAGTATCAATAGCTCATTCCTTTTTATTGATGAATTCCATTCTATTGTATAGACATACTACAATTTGTTTATCCACTCGCCTGTTGATGGGCATATGAGTAGTTTCTAGTTTAGGACTATGACAACTAAAACCGCTATGAACATTCTTATAAAAGTGTAGAGATAGGCTTTCATTTCTCATGTGTGAATACCTGGAAGTAGAAAACATATGATAGGCTTATATTTTACCTTCTTACCAACAGTGTATGAGAATTTCAGTTGTTCTACTTCCTCACTGACACTTGGTATAATCATTCTTTTAAATTTAGGCATTTTAATAGATGTATAGTAGTACCACATATGGTTTTAATTGCATTTTTCTAATGAATGGTGTAGAGCATGTTTTTATATATTTATATACTGTGTGTAAAGTATCTATTCAAATTGCCAGTTTTCTATTGCCCTGTGAGTTTTTGCATTCATAATTTTTGACAATGATTTATATGTTGTTAATACAAATTCATTACTGGGTGTGATTTGTGAATATATTCCCTCAGTATGAAATTTCTCTTTTATTACCATAATAGTGTCTTTTGAAGAGTGAAAATTCTGAATTTTGATAAAGTTCAACTTATTTATTTTTAAATGAAACATGCTTTTGGTGTTGGTCTAAGAAATAATTGCCTAACCCAAGATCATAAAGGCTTTCTTCCATGTTTTTCTTCTGGAAGTTTTATAGTTTTAAGTTTCACATCTTTTCCTATAATCCATCTTATATTAATTTCTCTATACAATGCAAGTTACCAAACAAGGTTTTTTTTTTTGTTTGCTTAAATTTTTTGGTATGTAAATATCTAATAATTCTAGAACACTTTGTTGAAAATATTATCCTTTCTCCATTAAATTGCCTTTAATGTTCCAATGAAAATCAATTGACTATATGTGAGTAGTTCTGTTTCTGGACTCTATATTCTGTTTCATTCATTAAGTTGTCTATGTTGACAAAAATACAGTATTGTATTGATTATTATATCTGTATATATACATAATAAGTCTTGGAGTCAGGCAGTATAAGTTCTTCAAATTTATTTTTAATTTTATCTTTCAAGGCTGTTATCTATTATTATAACTTTGCTACCCTAGATTCCTTACATTTTCACATGATTTCTAAAATCAGCTTGTCAATTTCTATTAAAAAAGACCTATTTTTTTCTGTCTTATTTTGGGTTATTTTATATGATTCATTTTATCTAGGGCTTATTGGTTATACTTTGTGTTATTTTAGTGTTTGCTTTAGGGTTTAAAATATTTAGTGTTAATTTATCAGGGTATAGCTTTAAGTAATATTACCTCTTCTCCTTTTGAATTAGAACATTACAAGACTAAACATTCATTTCTATTCTCCTGATTTTTTTGTTATTGTTTGCAGACATCTTACTTTTACAAATATAATAAACTTTATGATACAATGCATTCTTATTATTTTGATTTCAACAACTGATCTTTCATAGAGATTTAAATAACAACCCAAATTAATTTATATTAACTAACATAGTTATCTTACATGGTGCATGCACTTTATTCTTTTGTATAGATCTAGATTTAAATATGCTATCACTTTGCTTCTGATTGAAGAATTTTCTTTAGCAATTTTTATAGTTCAGATCTCTTATAAATGATTTTCTTCAGCTTTCGTATGTCTACAAAAGTCTTTATTACACTTTCATTTTTAAAGGTATTTTTGTTAGAAAAAGACTTCTAGATTGTCTTTTTTTCTTTCAGTATTCTAAAAATATTATAAAACATAAAATTGCCTTTTATGTTGCATTGTCTTAAACAAGAAATCTGCTATTGTCCTCATCTTTTTTCCTCTGCATGAAATGTTTCTTCCCATTAAAAAAGTTGGATGTACAGCTGCCATTTTTACATTTTGTTTTCTCTTTTTCATGTCTTTTTTCTTTGTCTATTCCTTCCTATTGCTTTTTTGCATTAAGTGAATTTTCTTAGTATAATATTTTAAATCCTTTAGTGATTTTTCTCTATTTTTTTTAGTTTTTTTAGTTTTTTTTTAGTGGTTGCCTGCCCTCAGGGTTTACTATATACATCTTAATTTATCAGAATCTACCTCAGATTTATACTAACTTAATTTCAGATATATAGATATAGTAAGATATAGAAATGGTATTTCTATATAACTCTATTATTTTATTTTTCTTCCCCATTTTTGTGCATATACTTACAGATAAGCACATACACACACACACACACACACACACACACACACAATCTTAGACCCAGCAATACATTGTTATTATTATTGATTTGTATAATTATATGTCTCTTAAAAAGCAAGAGAAGAAAGAAAAGCAAGTATACATTTTACAGTTTGCTATATTTATCTTTTTATTTGCCATTTCTGGTTTTATTCATTTTTTCTTGTTAGTCAAAGTAACCGTCTGGCATCATTTCTGTACTTCAATACAATTCTGCTCCCACCCACGTCCTTTGTGCTTTTATCAAATGTATTACATTTCTGTATGTTATCAGCCCAACAATACAATTATACATGTATTATTTAATTATTTAATTTTTAAATCCGTTAAGGGAAAAAAATGCATTTCTACTATCTCTTTTTTTTTTTTTTTTTTTTTTTTGAGACGGAGTCTCGCTCTGTCGCCCAGGCGTGGAGTCTGGGGTGCGGTGGCACGATCTCGGCTTACTGCAAGCTCCGTCTCCTGGGTTCATGGCATTCTCCCGCCTCAGCCTTCTGAGTACCTGGGACTACAGGCGCCCGCCACCACGCGCAGCCAACTTTTTGTATTTGTAGTAGAGACGGGGTTTCTCCGTGTTAGCCAGGATGGTCTCGATCTCCTGACCTCGTGATCCACCCGCCTTGGCCTCACAAAGTGCTGGGACCACAGGCGTGAGCCACCGCACCTGGCCCATTTCTACTATCTTTTTAAATTACGTAATTACCTTACTGATGAACTTTTATTTTCTCTGTAAATTCCAATCTCTGTTTTCTTGCTTTCAGCCTGAAGAACTTCTTTTAGTGTTTCTTGTAAGGTTGGTCTTGTAGCAACAGACTCTTCCAGATTTTGTTCATCTGAGAATTTCTTTATTTTGCCTTTACTTTTTGAAGATAGTTTGTTTGATATAAGGTTCTTGGTTGAGTTTTTCTTTGAATACTTTGAATATGTCATACACTACCTTCTAGCCACTATTGTTTCTATTGAGAAGTTGGATGTAAATTTTACTGGGGTTCCCTTCCATGTGACAAATCATTTTTCTCCTGCTGCTTTGAAGATTTTTCTCTTTGTGTTTAATCTTTTAGTATATTTACTATTATTTGCCTGGGTGCACCTTTTTAAAAATTTATTATAGTTGGAGTGTGTTGAGCTTCTTGGATATATATGTTAATGTCTTTCAGCAAACTTGTGAAGTCTTCAACCATTATTTCTTCATTTTTTTTAGCTCATTTCTCTTTCTTCCTCTACTTCTGATATTTCAGTTACAAATGTGTTAGTGCATTTAAAGGTAGCTCATATTTCTTTGATGGTCTATTCATGTTTCTTCACTCTTTATTCCCTTTATTCTTTGGATTGCATAATCTCTATGGATTTGTCTTTAAATTCACTGATTCTTTCTTCTGCCAGTTCAAATGCACTATAGAACTCTCTAATAAATTTTTCATTTTAGTTTTTTGTAGTTTTCAAATACAGAATTTCAATTTGGTTCTTTTAATAATTTCTATACATTTATTGACATTTTCTATTTTTATGAGCTATTGATTTTACACTTTTCCTTACGCTTTTAACCATTTATGCCTAGTGTACCATTATTGGAATGCTAAGCATATGGGAGTTATTTATATCCTACTGCTCAAGGCCATCACAAAGGTCTGATTGCAAAAATTCCAAAAATTGCAACCTCAGGCATAAATGTGTTAAGAATGTTTTCCTTTGTTCTTTGAGCATATTTATAATGGCTACTTTCAAATCGTTGTCTGCTAAATATAATATCTGGGCCCTCTTACAGGCAATTTCTGTTGTCTGCTTTTATTCTGTGTATGGGTCACACATTACATGTCTCATAATTTCTTTTGCTAAGTTCCAGGAGATTTCACATACTATATTGCAGAAACTCCAGATATTGATTTTCCTCCCTTCTCTTTAGACTCGTTTTGTTGTTGTTGTTGTTTTCCTGTGTTTTTGTTTGTTTCTTTGGTTGGTTGGTTTTTATTTGTTTGGTTTTGTTTTGACTGAAGTAAGCTACTTTAGTAAATCTTTCTCTTGCAGTGTGAAGTTTTGGTGTTATTCCCCTGAGAAGGCAGCTTTGTATATGCATACATTTACCATAGGGTGACAATGATTTTACCATTCTATCTTTGTCTGTTTCTCTGATCTCTCTATTAAGCCATCTGTTTCATTTGGTATTATACTCTGCCCAATAGACTCCACTAATATGGACTGATTGGTTTGTTGTTTTCAACAATGCTCTGGGGCATAAATTGTTTAGCAATCTCATCTAATTAAACTTGGAAAGTGGTAGTTGTTAGGCTTGTCTTTGAGGCCTTTTACTGTCCTCAGAAGGGCGCTTTTAAGCAGTATCTTTCAGTGGTTCTCTCTAGTAAACTAAATGACCAATTGCTTGGTTTCTTGATCTTAAGAGGAGCAGCTGTTTTTGAGAGCACCATTTGGCTTAAACTTCCCCACACTCTGTTTCAAATCAAGACAGTTCTTTTCTTTTTTTTTTAATTACACTTTAAGTTCTAGAGTACGTGTGTGCAACATGCAGGTTTGTTACTTATGTATACATGTGCCGTGTTGGTTTGCTGCACCCATTAACTCAACATTTACATTAGGTATTTCTCCTAATACTATCCCTCCCCTATCCCCCCACCCCACGACAGGCCCCGGTGTGTGATGTTCCACGCCCTGTGTCCAAGTGTTCTCATTGTTCAATTCCAGCCTATCAGTGAGAACATGCAGTGTTTGGTTTTCTGTCCTTGTGATAGTTTGCTCAGAATGATGGTTTCCAGATTCATCCATGTCCCTACAAAGGACATGAACTCATCTTTTTTATGGCTGCATAGTATTCCATGGTGTATATGTACCACATTTTCTTAATTCAGTCTATCATTGATGGACATTTGGGTTGGTTCCAAGTCTTTGCTATTGTGAATAGTCCCGCAATAAACATACGTGTGCATGTGTCTTTATGGTAGCATGATTTATAGCCCTTTGGGTATATACCCAGTAATGGGATTGCTGAGTCAAATGGTGTTTCTAGTTCTAGATCCTTGAGGAATCGCCACACTGTCTTCCACAATGGTTGAACTAGTTTACAGTCCCACCAACAGTGTAAAAGCATTACTATTTCTCCACATCCTCTCCAGCACCTGTTGTTTCCTGACTTTTAATGATTGCCATTCTAACTGGTGTGAGATGGTATCTCACTGTGGTTTGATTTGCATTTCTCTGATGGCCAGTGATGATGAGCATTTTTTCATGTGTCTGTTGGCTGCATAAATGTCTTCTTTTGAAAAATGTCTGTTCATATCCTGTGCCCCCTTTTTGATGGTGTTGTTTGATTTTTTCTTGTAAATTTGTTTAAGTTCTTTGTAGATTCTGGCTATTAACCCTTTGTCAGATGGGTAGATTGCAAAAATTTTCTCCCATTCTGTAGGTTGCCTGTTCACTCTGATGGTAGTTTCTTTTGCTGTGCAGAAGCTCTTTAGTTTAATAAGATCTCATTTGCCTATTTTGGCTTTTGTTGCCATTGCTTTTGGTGTTTTAGACATGAAGTCCTTGTCCATGCCTATGTCCTGAATGGTATTGCCTAGGTTTTTTTCTAGAGTTTTTATGGTTTTAGGTGTAACATTTAAGTATTTAATCCATCTTGAATTAATTTTTATATAAGATGTAAGGAAGGGATCCAGTTTTATGAGGCCAGCATCATCCTGATACCAAAGCCTGGCAGACACACAGGAAAAAAAGAGAATTTTAGACCAATATCCCTGATGAACATTGATGCAAAAATCCTCAATAAAATACTGGAAAACCGAATCCAGCAGCACATCAAAAAGCTTAGATCAAGTCGGCTTCATCAAGTCGGCTTCACTAAGATCAAGTCGGCTTCTTCCCTGGGATGCAAGGCTGGTTCAACATATGCAAATCAATAAATGTAATCCATCACATAAACAGAACCAAAGACAAAAAACACATGATTATCTCAATAGATGCAGAAAAGGGCTTCAACAAAATTCAACAGCCCTTCATGCTAAAAACTCTCAATAAACTAGGTATTGATGGAACGTATCTGAAAATAATAAGAGCTATTTATGACAAACCCACAGCCAGTATCATACTCAATGGGCAAAAACGGGAAGCATTCCCTTTGAAAACTGGCATAACACAGGGATGCCCTCTCTCACCACTCCTATTCAACATAGTGTTCAAGTTCTGGCCAGGGCAATCAGGCAAGAGAAAGAAATAATGGGTATTCAGTTAGGAAAAGAGGAAGTCAAATTGTTCCTGTTTGCAGATGACATGATTGTATATTTAGAAAATCCCATCGTCTCAGCCCAAAATCTCCTTAAGCTGATAAGCAACTTCAGCAAAGTCTCAGGATACAAAATCAATGTGCAAAAATCACAAGCATTCTTATACATCAATAACAGACAAACAGAGAGCCAAATCATGAGTGAACTCCCATTCACAATTGCTACAAAGAGAATAAAATACTTAGGAATCCAACTTACAAGGGATGTGAAAGACCTCTTCAAAGAGAACTACAAACCACTGCTCAGTGAAATAAAAGAGGATAGAAACAAATGGAAGAACATTCCATGCTCATGGATAGGAAGAAACAATATCGTGAAAATGGCCCTACTGCCCAAGGTAATTTGTAGATTCAGTGCCATCCCCATCAAGCTACCGATGACTTTCTTCACAGAATTGGAAAAAACTACTTTAAAGTTCATATGGAACCAAAAAAGAGCCCGCATTGCCAAGACAATCTTAAGCAAAAAGAACAAAGCTGGAGGCATCATCCTACCTGACTTCAAACTTCAAGGCTACAGTAACCAAAACAGCATGGTACTGGTACCAAAACAGAGATATAGACCAATGGAACAGAACAGATGCCTCCGAAATAACACCACACATCTACAGTCATCTGATCTTTGACAAACCTGACAAAAATAAGAAATGGGGAAAGGATTCCCTATTTAATAAATGGTGCTGGGAAAACTGGCTAGCCATATGTAGAAAGTGAAGACAGTTATTTTCAATAGAAAAGAGCTCTCCTTTCCTACGGACCATGTCTCTCTCTGGGCAAACTCTCTGAGCCACTACTCTGGGTTCTGTGTGAGGCAGTAGCCTCTGGACTTCTTGGCTCACCTCTTCCAACATGGAGCCTTTATTTTAAGAGCAAGCTGTGTTTGGACCATAGAAGTCCCAGTATTCTCAGCTTGTAGTACATGAAGTGAAGCCTCTGTCCTGTGGGTAAAATGGGAACAGAAGTCCCCCGCCTGCTAGCTAGCCCTCAACAGGAGTCAAACATTTTTAACTTGCATTTGGAATGGATGAGAAGTACTGATAGCCTGTGTCTCTGTGTCTCTTGGAAAGGTATGATACAACTTGACTAGAAGCTGAGGGGAGAGGGAGCCCCATCCTCTCGGCCACACCTATCCAAGGAAGAACTTTCACCTGGCTGAGCTTTGTGGATGAAGAGAAGCAGAAGGTCACATAGCTCAAATGCCACAGTCTCCCACTGTCCTTACTGAGAGAATTAAGAACTTCTATTGTTTTCTTGAATAAGTATTTCCTCATTTGCTGTATATCCCTAGACCATTTTCAAGATACTATTTTTTATTTTTAGTTTTATCATCCCAACAGCTTTGTTCAGGTGTCTGAGGAATGGGTCTGCAAAGCTCCTCACAATGCCATCCAGAAATGGAGCTCCGATAAGCTTATTTTTTTAAAATTGTACTTTCTATTATTTCAAGAAAACAGGAGATGAGATGTGAGGTGGACAAATATGTTCAATTTGACATCTTGATCTAATCTACTTCATCTCTTTTCAAAAGGTCATTTCTTTCTTATATATCTCCTCTGTCCCTAGCTGTGAGTAATCAATTTGTTCAGTCACATTGCTAGCGTTTGGTAGAACCAGACCTAGAAACTCCATGGGTAAAGTTGGGTTCAAATCCAGGTTTCTGTACTACTAGTTGTATGAAATTAATGAGCTCTTCAAATTTCTGTTCCTTCATCTCTAATGAAAAGGAAGAATACATGCCATGTATTTTATGGTTAGAGATAGTATGTAGAAATAGCATTTTAAACATCACTCTTAGAGAATCCAGTTTGTCTCATCTTAATAAGAAACTTTTAAAAAATCATAGCAAAATATTATTAATTTCATTATCTAGCAAGCTTTCAACTACTCTTTAATTTAAAAAGTCATCTATACACAAAGCAATTATTGCTATATTTAAAAGTTTCAAAAAGAATATAATTAATTCAAACTTGTTTTTTTTTTTATTTCTGATTAATCTGTATAGTGCCTTGCATTCTCATGTAAGAGACATTGAATATCTGATGACTTGGCAGAATTTTGTTTTCATGTGGACACTCTTAGATATTTTGGTATCAGTTTAGACACAACAAGCAGAATGACTTAAAAATGTAGGTACAAAAGAGTTTTATTTCAAAAAGCACTACCGTTTAATTCCACACTAACTGATTACTGTGTCTGGAGTGCTTGATTTAATGTAAAGATTTGTAACTTTGGCATTTTCCATACCACTAAGAAATGCCATATAATTATATTAAAATTTTACTGATTCTTACCCCATTTATTTGACATCTATAAAAATTTATACATGGATTAAATAAAAATTTGCCATATTTTTATAAAATGAGTTTTCTAAAAATTTATCAGAACAAAACCTAGCAAAGAACTGTGAATAAAGTAAGTGACAATAGATAATTACTATATTTAATAAATATGCTCCTAGGTGGGAAAAGCATTTGATAAGCATAGCTTTGTCATACTTTTAGGCAAGCGACAAATCAATTACAAAGATTTTAAAAATTTGGTATAAGTGAATTGCCTTCTGAAGCTCTCCTGGCAATATCTTTTTACGTCAATTGGTTTCTCAGGAGCTGAAAGCAGCCACATTATCCAGGTATTTATGTGGTTTTTAAATGGTGCATCAATAAATCTTCATGGATTTTGTCAGGTCACTTAATGCCCAGTAATGGAAAGTGAGGTGGTATGAGAGTAGGGAGGTGTTGATTACAAGAAATATTAGGAACTCATCTTGCTTCAACCATTGAGCTTTTATTTGTTTCATATACCAGGCTTCAACATAATGTTTAATTCATTCAAACAAAGGGTCCTGTGATGGTTACTATTGTGTATCAATTGGACTAGGCCTTGGTACACAGATATTTATTTGGAGAAACAATAGTCTGAATATTTCTGTGAAGTTAGTTTTTTAGATGAGATTAATATTTTAATCAATAGATTTAGAGTAAAGCAGATTACCTTCTGCAGTACGGGTGAGTCACATATAATCAGTTGAAGGCCTATGAGAAAACAAAATGAGGTCCCACGGAAGAGGAAATTCTGCCTCCAGGCTGGCTTAGGACTTGAGCTCCAACTGGATTTTCAACCTGTCTGCTTACCCACAATGCAGATTTTGGACTTGCTAGCCTCCACAATTTCATGACCCAATTCCTTAAATAAATTTCCTTTCAATCTCTCTCTTTCTTCATATATCTCTCTCACACAAGCTTTCAACTACTCTTTAATTGGAAAAATCATTTATTGACAAAGCAACTACTGCTATATTACAACATGTTTCAAAAAGAATGCAATTAATTCAAATCTAGTTTTTGATATTATACGCACACATATACAAACACACGCACATACACGCTTACACATTCTATTAGTTCTGTTTGTCTGGAGAACCCTTAATAATACAGGTCATTTGCCTTAAAAATCTTTTTTATTGTTTGTTTGTTTGTTTTGAGATGGAGTCTTCCCACGTCGCCCAGGCTGGTGTGCAGTGGCTCAATTTCAGCTAACTGCAACCTCCGCCTCGTGGGTTCTAGTGATTCTCCTGCCTCAACCTGCAGAGTAGCTGGGATTACAGGTGCGCACCACCACGCCCGGCTAATTTTTGTATTTTTAATAGAGACGATTTCCCCATGTTGGCCAGGCTGGTCTCGAACTCCTGACCTCAGGTGATTCACTCATCTTGGCCTCCCAAAGTGCTGGGATTACAGGGGTAAGCCACCATGCCCGGCCGAAAAATGTTTTGTAAACCTTGATTTGGTTCAACCATCTGTATAAAGAGTAAGCAAACTAACGTACAATGAAGCAGTGGCAGTCTCAAGACCACACTACCATTTTGTAGGTGACTTGGGACTAGAGCCTAATTCCTTCTGCTTCTCTTATCAGCAGTAGATCTCTCTTTAAACTATTAGTCCACAAACTTTAGTGTGAATCAGAATCACCTGAAGCACTTGTAAAAACACATATTATTTGGTTTTGCTTCCTCTCTGCTAACATTTCTGAGTCAATATATCCATAGTAGGACACCAAAATTTGCATTTAATTTCTAACAAGTTCCTAAATGATGCTGAGGCTGCTGGTTTAAAATCACACTGGAAAACAACTGCTCTAGACCACAGTTTAAAGTGTGGGGAAGCAATGGAGAAGTTACAATATACCAAGAATGAAGAAAACATTAAATAAATTGTTTGATGTGGCCTCTTTTTGGGCTCTTGCTTCGTGCCTACCGAAAGTTTTTTCCATATTTCTGGGCCTCAGATTTCTGATTAATAAAATATAGACTTTAGACCAAATGATATTTGATGTCCCCTCTAAGATAATATAAATACTACTACTTTCTTATGATAATTAAATAAAATGGTTAAGAAAAAAATTGAAGCTATGCCACTATAACAGCTAGAAACAATCTGGCAGCATGCATCTGTAAACTTTGCAAGTAACTGTGGTTTGAATAAATTGTTTTCTCACATAGCAAAATGTTTGAAACTAGGTGATTATCACCTTTTTCTTTCTTTTTTTTTCATTTTTACAGGTTGGGTTCTCTAGAAGAGATGCTGAGACAGACTATTGGGATGTAAGATGTTTAGTAGGGATCACACCTACAAAGATAAATGGGAGGAAGTAAGATTAGATAGAAAAAAACTGCAATGCAAACCCAACAAAAGCTTATCCAACCTAGCAGGGAGCTAGAGTATACATTGCCTATGAGAGTGTCCTGTGTTGGCCTGAAATGGCCGGGTCCATTTCAAGGCATAAACTAAATGTCATTCTGTCCCTCCAAGAGTGTGGCCTTAACCAGATAGCTCTCAGCAGCTGAGTTGGATCCTGAAGGGCTGATGTTGGAGGCTGTCTGTGGATCCCACTCTCTACAGGTAGTAGCCAGTCCTTCTTGAAGCGGGTTTTGGAGGGCACATCTCCAGGTCTATTACACATATCAACACAAGTTCTCTGTGATTCCCTTGGTCTTTCTCTTATGTTCAAGCAATGACTCATGAAGTTTCAAGTATTACATGCCATTCAAAGCACAGAGGGACAGAAGGAGTAGTAGGGTTGTTTCATTCTGTTCAGGCTGCTGTAACATACACTGGGTGGCTTATGAACAACAAATATGTATTGCTCACAATTCTGGAGGGTGGAAAGTCCAAGATGAAGGTGGCTGCAGATTCAGTGTCTGGTGAGGACCTGTTTCCTCATATCACCTTCTCTCTGTGTCCCATATGAAGAAAGGAGCAAGCTAACTCTGGGGTCTTTTTTATCCAGGCACTAATCCCATTCATAAGAGCAGAGCCTCATGACAGAATCATCTCCCAAAGGCCCCACCTTCTAACGCCATCACCTTAAGGGGTAGGATTTCAACATGTGAATTGGTGAGGGGTGACACAGACGTTCAGACCCTAGCAAATGTCTAGCCCCTTTATCAGGAAATTGAAAGCTTTCCTGGAAACCATTGAGTCGATTTTGCTTATGTCTCACCAGAAAGTTATCACGTGATTAATCAAGCTACAGGTAACTAGTTAGTATCTCTAGTCTCTACAGTAGGAAAATAAAAGGAAAAGGGGATTGGGAATAGATGTGGTTTTTCAACCATGAAGGCCTTTGCCACTCACTTTACTAATCACCTAAAATGTCTGCCAGTTACTTTGTCAGATGCTAAACTGTCAAATTCCACAAAAATGTTGCCAAATCAGTATTAGTATTTCTAATTCTAAAAGCCTTGAAACTAAATCCTTGCTTTTCCTTATACTTTATTGACATTTTTCCTCAGTCATCATATGACACCCAGAATTAAGAGTCTTAGGCTTTCAAGAATTCACCGAAGCAGCAGAAATGGGTAGTTTATGGCAACATAAATGGAGTTCAATTTAAGAGTAGGCGTACACTTTTATTGGAAAAAGATGGCATTTACCGAGTTATTTTTATTTTTCCTTTGAGGTTAAAATAAGTTTTTTTCTCTATCTTGGGAATATATAGTCAGGCAACTCACAAATGTGACATGAACTGAAGGATACAGGGGCTATAATTCGCATCAAAGCGAAACCAACAGGACTTCTGTCATCTCCTCTTCAAAGCAATATTATCCTAAGGGATGTGATATTTCACTGTAAACCAAGAAATTCATGCTCAAACATGCAGCTGCTAGCTCAAAATTTAACATAAAAAGCTTTAAAAGGAAGAAAAAGAGAGAAAGCAGGTGAGAAGGAAGCCAAACCAACTCTCCAAGAATTTGCTTGCTCTTAAGTAGCATCCTTAGCCCATCATTGTCTCAGACACTGTGCTAATAAATAAAAATGAAGATAAGTAATGGCCTAATGAATCACAGTAATACATGTTATTAAATCAATAGGTCAGAACTGAAAATAAGACCTATGCTTTCACAATTGCTGAAGTGAATAAGAAGGAGGAGGAATCCAATTATCCTATATCTGTAGATTGTATGCCTAAAATGTAGATACTACTATTTGAACTCACTTTCCTGTGAATTTATTTTCAGGATCAGTAAATTTGGCTTAGGACTTGAAAAAAGTTAAAAGAAAATGTGAAAATTATATAAAGCAGCAGGATAATATCAGAGTTGTAATTTAATATTAAAATTTTAAGAAGAAGTGATTACATTTTAATGGCAATGTATGTCTTTTCATAATAAACCAAATGGTTGTTTATGATAAGATTTCAGAAATTGTTAGAAAAATAAACATTTTGGTGCACTGGGCAAAGTATACTGTCTTCATAGTAATATTGTAAAATGTCTCTGCATTTCTCTAACAACCAGAGTAAACAAATCAATCAGTACTTTTGAATAAAGTGGCTCGTAGAAAGTAAAATAAGCCATGTTTTTAAAGCACTTGTTATTTTAAATAAAAACAGTAGAGGGCTCTGAAAATGATAAAATATGTAATGGCGAAAACTAACTCAACTGAGTTCCAACTAGAAGTCAGATACTTTACACACATTTTATCATGTATAAAAAAGACATGGAAACTATAAATAAATTATAAAAAGCAAGATGCTTATGGATATCTTTCCACATATTACTTATCCTTAAGCCATGCCTTAACTATCTCATTTTTAAATTCTGTTTTAGTAAAAATTCCAAAGAGACAAGTGGATTCATTCCAGAAAGCTATCAAACATATATTCTCTTGATGTTATTTCTTTAGGGATTAGCATTCCCTATATTGTTTCAATATTAATTTATGTGTCAATTATTTTCTGCCATAGGACATCAATGGATTTATTCGGGGACATCTATCCAAATTACATCAACATAAAATTTTATTTATTCTTTATAATTGAAAATCTAAGGAGTATTTTTCCCCAGGAATAGAAATATAATTTGTAATGTCCATCGTAAGTGATTAAAATTAATTACACTATTTTCCTAATTTACTACTTTCATCTGAGCTCCTATGTTCATAGCAATATGTTAATTCTGACTAATTGTTAACTTTGTATACAAATTTCACTCAGAGGTTATTTTTGAAATTGAGGACATATCTACTCAAATTGGCAAATATATTTTGAAGATTATTTTTAAGTGCAATTTAAATTTTGGTAATTATTAAGATTAAATCAATTGATTATAGTTAATTTTCAGTGACAGCCCTCTCTCTTACTATAGATGATTATGGAGCAAAGATGGCTGATCATCAGAATTGTTTATTTTTTCCTCTCTTTTAAGTTCCCAAATGTGTATCTTAAGACACAGGAATGACAACTCTAAAACCACCAACACATGCAGAAACAAAGATAACTCCTATGAAAGAAGTTAATGGCAATGTAACCACAGAATTGTAATATTGAATATTTCTGTAATGTGGGAGACAGTATAATATTTTGATAAGGGGAAAAGACTCAGAATAACACCGCGTGAATCAAAGCCAGGCTCTGCCGCTCACCATCTGCATGCCTATGAACAATTGACATCTATCAACGTGGGACATAACCATAATATACTTACTATTAATATACTCTTTTTTTTTTTTTTTTGAGACGGAGTCTCGCTCTGTCGCCCAGGCTGGAGTGCAGTGGCGGGATCTCGGCTCACTGCAAGCTCCGCCTCCTGGGTTCACGCCATTCTCCTGCCTCAGCCTCCCAAGTAGCTGGGACTACAGGCGCCCGCCACTACACCCGGCTAATTTTTTGTATTTTTAGTAGAGACGGGGTTTCACCATTTTAGCCGGGATGGTCTCGATCTCCTGACCTCGTGATCCGCCCGCCTCGGCCTCCCAAAACTATTAATATACTCTTGACTTAAAGCACTAATGTGCCTTCTGAAGGGACCTATTTTATTAATAAGAACCCAACTTAAACCCGATGATAATTGAGTTCAAATAATAGAACATGGTTAAAGAGTTCGAAATATGTGTAAATAATTTAACTTTTAGACTATTAATACGAATCCAAAGTACACGCAAGTCTCTCATTTCTTTTTTTTTTTTTTTTTTTTTTTTTTTTTTTTTTTTTTTTGAGACAGAGTCTCGCTCTGTTGCCCAGGCTGGAGTGCAGTGGCGGGATCTCGGCTCACTGCAAGCTCCGCCTCCCGGGTTCACGCCATTCTCCTGCCTCAGCCTCCCAAGTAGCTGGGACTACAGGCGCCCGCCACTACGCCCGGCTAATTTTTTTGTATTTTTAGTAGAGACGGGGTTTCACCGTTTTAGCCGGGATGGTCTCGATCTCCTGACCTCGTGATCCGCCCGCCTCGGCCTCCCAAAGTGCTGGGATTACAGGCGTGAGCCACCGCGCCCGGCCAAGTCTCTCATTTCTAGTCTTCACAAGTTATCTTTTTCTTTTCTAACCCTTCCTCCTCCCTTTTAGCTATAATTTGACACACAGGTAGGACCAAGTTAAAATACATATTCGTAGAACATTTCTTAGAAACAGTCGAAGTCTTGTAAACATTATACAATGACTTCTTATAATAAAAGATTAAGAAAATATTTCATTTACAAAAATAAAAGATTAATCCTATTCTGTTTCTGTTTCTAGAGTAAAAACAGAAAGATTATGATTACTTATAAAATATATGTAAAATTTAAGACCAAATAGGTCCTTTCTCTCTCATTTGCCTCTACCCTCTCTATTTTCATCTCTCATATACACAATACTGCTATTAAACTAAAAAGATGTTTTGTCCGTTTTTATTTTTCTCCAAGCACTCTCAAATAACATGTGATACAACTAAAAGTGCTCTCAGATTATATTAAAGATAGGCAAAATCCTAAATAGATACAAATTGAACAATTTAATTGTCTGCCACTAATATTATCAGCATACTGCTATTGAGCTTCTCTGCTTCACAGGAAACAGCTGCCTGACCAGTTATTCCTACTCATTTGTGGAAACTCAAGACTTAGTTGTGTAACAAAACATAGTTATTGGATAACTGAGATAGACCCTCTTTTTACTTATTTTATAAAGTAAACCCTCAGAAAGATTATTCAATTAATTATAGAGGGAATTAAGTAAAATGAATTTATTTTGGAATATGACAATGTTAAAAGGTATAGGCAGGACTTAGGTTAGCTCTAAGTGCAGTCATCTATTTTCCTTCTCTTATAGAAATGAGAAAAACAGAGATAAATAAATGTATTAAATGTAAAAATTATGGCTCAAGGAAGGAAGTTTGTTGTTTGCTTCAGAGATATAAAACAACTTTTGCATTGAATAATAATTAAATGTATACATATGGGTGCGCATATACACAGATGAAGTCACAAGAACATTGAATCATTTCAAATTCATGGTGGGACTTACTTGTAAGAAATATGGGCTCTTTGAAGCCCTGACACTGGCATTGGAATAAGTTAAATTTTAAAGACGAAGCAATTAGAAAACATCTTCTAATCTTAAACTGTAGAAAAAACACAGAGGAGGGGGACATATACCTGATTTTAAAGGTTTTACATTGATTGACATATTTATGCCCTCAAGGGTTCTATAGAGTTATTTTATAAATCTCTTCTTCCAGTATTAATATTCTTAATATTTCTGCTCCAGGAGATAAATGAGAATGAGAAAAAAGAGGAAATCTTCGATTATCTTAGTTCTCTTATCACCTTTCCTAGCCTTACTATGTTGTTACTCAAAGGTTTTGTATTTGACAAGAAGTCATTTACAGAGGTAGAAAAACACTTATTTTCTTTGAGACTCAATTAATTGTCCTGTGCAGTGATAGAGTTTGATTAGATCTCCTCTTAGTCCTTTTAATCTCTAAACTTTATTATTAAATCATAGAATATAAAATTACCACAGATCCAGAATGCCATACAGGCATTCTTGTGGACATTAGTACCCCTCATCTATACACAATTTTACTTTCCACGGTTTCACTTACCCACAGTCAACCACAGTATAAAAATAAGTGATAGAGTACAATAAAATGTTTTGAGAGAAAAGGAGACCACATTCACATAACTTTTATTATAGTACATTATTATAATTGTTCTATTTCATTATTGTTGTTAATCTCTTACTGTGCCTAATTTAGAAATTAAACTTTTTCGTAGGTATGTATGTGTAGAAAAAAACATAATATTTATAGGGTTTGGAACTATCCATGGTTTTAGGCATCCACTAAGCATCTTGGACCATATCCTTCATGGATAAGGGGGACTACTGTACTAAAACTTACCTGAAGATAATAAGAAGGTAAAAAAAAGACTAAAATCTGTATGAATGAGAGACTGTGGAGTATGGCCGAAAGAGTCATTGCTGTTTAATTCTCCTCTTTTTTTTTTTTACACCCAAATTACCAAACTAGTGAAATATAAATATATTTCAAGAGATTTCAAAGCTGCCTGGAACTTGGATAATATACTTATGCATTATTTCATGTTATGCCTGAAAAAGCTGTGACATGGGGTAATAAATTTGTTAAATCGTGGGTCTTATCATTGACTTTTCTGTTAGTTCATTTATTCATACTTTTACATAAACATTTACTGAATGCTACTGCACATGACACTATGTTAAAAACTAGAAAACAAATACAAATATGTCATTGTCCCTGTTGTCAAAAAATATTACATAGTCTTAGAAAAAAATAAGCAAATTCAAGTGGAAAATGTCCCTATTAGAAATACTGTTGTAAATTTATATGTAAAAATCATGAGAAATTGTTCACAAATAATAAAACTAAATTTTTCTTTGATTTCCCCATCAAAAAGTGGGTAAAGGATATGAACAGATACTTCTCAAAAGAAGACATTTATGTGGCCAACAAACATAAAAAAAAGCTCATCATCACTGGTCATTAGAGAAATGCAAATCAAAACCACAATGAGATACCATCTCATGCCAGTTAGAATGGTGATCATTAAAAAGTCAGGAATCAACAGATGCTGGGGAGGATGTGGAGAAATAGGAACGCTTTTACACTGTTGGTGGGAGTGTAAATTAGTTCAACCATTGTGGAAGACAGTGTGGCGATTCCTCAAGGATCTAGAACAAGAAATACCATTTGACCCAGCAATCCCATTACTGGGTATATACTCAAAGGATTATAAATCATTCTACTATAAAGACACATGCACACGTATGTTTATTGCAGCTCTATTTACAATAGCAAAGACTTGGGACCAACCCAAATGCCCATCAATGACAGACTGGATAAAGAAAATGCGGCACATATACACCATGGAATACTATGCAGCCATAAAAAATGAGTTCATATCCTTTGCAGGGACATGGAAGAAGCTGGAAACCATCATTCTTAGCAAACTAACACAGGAACAGAAAACCAAACACCACCTGTTCTCACTGATAAGTGGGAGTTGAACAATGAGAACACATGGACACAGGGAAGGGAACATCACACATTGTGGCCTGCTGGGGGGTGGGAGGCTAGGGGAGGGATAGCATTAAGGGATACACTTAATGTAGATGATGGGTTGATGGGTGCAGCAAACCACCATGGCACCTTAAAGATAACCTCATATTTAAGGGTGAATATTTAAGATGTCCTCCCAGGAACAGAAATAAAGCAATAATGTCTGCCCTGACTACTACCATTCAACCTTGTACTGAAGGTCCTAGTCACTGCAGTAGGAAATGAATATCATAAAAACCATACAGATTAAAAAGAAATAAATAGAATTATTTCTGTTTGCATAGGACATGATTGTTTACATAAAAAATTCCCAGTATTCTATAAAACCACTATTAAAAGTAATATATGAATTTTTCAAAGTTGTAGGATATAAGGTTAATATGCAAAAGCTTTTGCAGTTGTATATAATAGCAGAGAAAATATTTGGAAAATAAAATAAATAATATTCTATTATAATAATGCCAAAATATGAAAAAATTAGGAGTCCATTTAATATGGTATGCAAGCCTATACACTGAAAACTAGACATAGTTATTGAAAAAAATTTAAAAGACCTAAATAAATATATTTAATATTTTTATGGATACAAATGGCCAGCATTCTCAAAATACTAATTTTCCTTAAATTGATCTGTACAGTCAGTATAATCTCAATCAAGATTCTAGCAACCCTTTTTATAGAAATGGACAAGGTGATTCTAAAATTTATATGAAATTGCAAACAACCTAGAATAGCCAAACTAATATTTTTAAAGTTAAAAGACATGCATTATCTGATTTGAAGAATTTCTATAAAGCTACGGTAATCAAAATAGTGTGGCATTGGTGAAAGTATAGATACATCAAAGGGTTAATGGAACACAATAATAAATCAATGAAAAAAAGTGGACACATATATAATCGATTGATATTTGTCAAAGGTTCCAAAGCAATTCAATGGGCAGAGAAAAGTCTTCGACAAATAGTACTGAAACAACTCGCTAGCCATGAGGATGATGTCATCAAACCTTGCCACACGAAATAAAAAAAATCAACCCAAAATGCATCATATACCTAATTGTAAGTGGTAGAAATATAAACTTAAAGGAGGACAAATCTCTACAACATTTAATTAGGAAATGTTCTCTTAAACAGAGCACAAAAGGCATAAACCACAAAACAAAAAATGATGAAGTGTACTTCATGAAAATTATTAGAACATTAACCTTCTCAAAAGGTACCAAAAAGGCACAACTTCTGGGGATCTAAGGTACACTGCGGGTGGTGATAAAACTGTTAATTAATGTATATAAAATCACCATGTTATATGGTGATTTGAATATATTAATCAAATATATTTGATTTGATATATTAATAAAATCACAATGTTATATGGTTATTTGTATATATTCCTATTTTTGTCAACTAAATATTTTAAAGTAAAAAAATTGGAGATGTAGGGAAAAAAAGGCAAGCCATATAATGTGAGAATAGATATACATAGTAACATAGTAGCAAATAATTAGAAAATGATTTACTTTAGTGCCAAAACTTTAATTGAAATAAATATATGGTATGAGGAATGCCATGTATTTATAGCAATATAATTACAATAAGTATATATCTGAGGAGCAACATGTATTTATGGTATGGTATAAGGAGAATTTATAATTCACTAATAATAAGACAAATAATCCAGCTAAAATTGGCATAAAGATGCGAACGGACACTTCACTAAAGAAATTACTTGAATGACCAGTAAGCTCATGAAAAGATGCTCACCCTAAGGTCATAAGGTAAAATACAAATCATAATGAGATACTACTGTATACCCATTACAGTGGCTAAAGCAAAAAAGATTGGCAGTTCCAAGTGTTGGCGTGCACGTGAAACTACTGAACCTTTCATATGCTATTTTTCAAAATGTAAAAGTGGAACAATCACTTTGTAAAATATGTTGGCAGCTTATTGAAATGTTAAATATACATCCACAATAAACCACAGCCATTGCACTCCTAGGAATTTACCTTAGAGCAATAAAAACACATTTCCACACAAAGGCTTGTACATGGATATTCACATCAGCTATATTCACAATAGACAAAAACCGCATACACAACCGCACTATATTTCACATATTCAAATGAAATCAAGGCTGAAGGAAGGGACCCTAATCACACCCACAGTTAGACCTCAGATGTAGAGAACTGGTCTGGCAGCAAACACATGGGGTCAGGTAGGGAGGCAGGTAGAGGCTGACAAAAGCCAAATTACTGAGAGATTGAGCAATGGAGGGAGAAAACATTCTAATAAAAAAATGAATTAATCATGTTGATCTGGATTTACAGATAAATATCAGAAGCAAGTAGTGGTTTAGGGTACTTTAAGGTATGGTTATTCTTTGACCCAGTTTTATTCAAGCTGTACTGGAGGCATTTTGCATACTAGAAATAAAGTGGTAAGAGTTAAGACTGAGAAAGTGCTCTCACAATACTGTCTAACCTTCCAACCCAAGCAGCCCTGCTTAAATCACTCCAAGACAGAATAACACAGGACTAAGGGGGCCTTTCTAGGTCTTATTTCCCATCCGAAGGCTAAATAGACCTTATGCCTTGTTGTTTGAGAAAATCTACTCATGATTCCTTGAGTAATCACCACACTGTCTTCCACAATGGTTGAACTAACTTACATCCTCACTAACAGTGTAAAAGCATTCCTATTTCTCCACAGCCTCACCAGTATCTATTGTTTCTCGACGTTTTAATAATCGCCATTCTGACTGGCATGAGATGATATCTCATTCTGTTTTTTATTTGCATTTCTCTAATGATCAGAGATGTTGAGCTTTTTTTCATATGTTTTTTGGTCACATAAATAGGCCTAGGCAAAGACTTCATGACAAAAACACTAAAAGTGATTGCAACAAAAGCCAAAATTGACAAATGGGATCTAATTAAACTAAAGCGCTTCTGCACAGCAAAAGAAACTATGATCAGAGTGAACAGGCAACCTACAGAATGGGAGAAAATTTTTGCAATCTACCCATCTGACAAAGGTCTAACATCCAGAATCTACGAGGAACTTAAACAAATTTAGAATAAAAAACAAACAACTCTAACAAAAACTGGGCAAAGGATATGAACAGACGCTTCTCAAAAGAAGGCAGTTTCACTTTCTTATGATTCATTTGTTTACTGGAGTAGCACGTTTAATTTCCTTTAAGAACTTTTTCTTTGCATGCACAACTCTGCAAACTTTCTGGTGCAAGAGGCCTAGCATTTGGCCTTCCTCAGCTTTTGATATGTCTTCTTCACTAAACTTAATCATATTATTTCTAGCTTCTAATTGAAAGCCAAAAATGTTCCACTGTACTTTTTACTTGACTATTAAAAGGCCATTGTAGGGTTATTAATTGACCTAATTTTAATATTTTTACATCTCAGAGAATAGGGAGGCCAAGAAGAGAGAAAGAGACAGGGGAACAGCTGGTTGGTGGAGCTGTCAGAACACACATTTATCAATTAAGTTTGCCGTCTTACATGGGCATGTTTCATGATGCCCCCAAACTATTACAATAGTAACATCAAAGATCACTAATAGAGATCACATAATAGATATTATAATAATAAGACAGTTTGAAGTATTGAGAGAATTAACAAAATGTAACAGGGACAAGAAATGAGCACATGATGTTGGAAAAATGGCACTATTAGACTTGCTTGATGCAAGGTTGCCACAAACATTCAATTAGTAAAAAAAAAATACATATGTATATATATTACACAATATATATGAAACTCACTAAAGCAAAATACAATAAAACAAGATATTCCTTTATAGGACTGATTTATTTGACCAATTATAAAGTAGCTAGATTTCTAAAATTAAGATATTTTCAAGATTGTTCAACTTTACCAATGAATGTTGAACAGTAATTTACAAATATGGCAAGAAGATAGACTTTTTATTTTATGACTTTGGAAGATAGAGTGGAAATGCAATAAGCTGCGGATTTTTCACTAGGGCATCCTTCAACATCATGCCAGTCAGTATATGACCTGTGCTAAGCTCCTCCAAGGTATAAATCTATTATTCAATATTTCAAATCTGTGTACAAAATAGAAATACCTTGAAATAGCAACAGGTCTTTTTAAACTCCAAAGTGCTTAGATATTGTTGGAATAACCTGTAGCTATGTTAAACAAGAGCTATTACTTGGCTCACTAGTTTATTTGTTTTAGTGTATAGCCTCGTGAATTCAGTTTTCCATTCAGAATATATTTAGCCCTAGATTTCTGCCATAGGAACAGCAGTAGTTGAAATGCTAAATAAACAGTTATTCACAGAGGCAAGTATAGAGTGTAGGCTGATTTCATTTTATGTACCTGAGAACTATAAAAAGAGTGCATTATCAAAAAGCATAATAGCTATACCATAAATATATGATGAACTGAATGACCCTCTGTTAGTTTTCACTGTAATTTCTGATAGATATTCACAAAATAAAAAACATCAGATCCAATTCTTTAAAAAGTGAAAGTGAAATCATAAGTCCTTAGTGCCAGCATGGAGAGGCTTCAGGAGGCATGGAGCCCTGTGGTTTGACTGCTGACTCTTCCACTTTGTGGCTGTGTGAGCAGGAACAATCACAACCAGCTCTCTGAGGCTAACTCTTCTCTTGCACAAAACAAAAATGATAACAACGCCTTAATTCCCAAAGCTTTTAGAATGATCAAACAAAACAATGCATATAAAAGCTTTGAAAACTCAGTCACTGCTGTCAACTTTCACTACCAGAAGGATTCTGCCTTTGCCTATAGAAAATCGATTATTTTAATTTTTCCCCACAAGAATCCTAGAAGAAATGATTCAAATCCTTATTATTTCAATCCATTTAATCTTGTGTGAATTCTAAAAGGATACATTTTTAAGTCATACTGCAGAACTACGCAGCACTTTGTCAGGACTTTTACTGAGTTGTTGGTTCTTAATATTTTGAAAAAACTTCCTGTATCTTTATTCAAGGAAGTAAGTGGAATTCTTGATATATAAATTCATATTCAGATGCTATTTTTGGAATTTTTCAGCAAAGTGTGGCAGAGCGAGGCAGGAATTCTCCTTTTTCAGGTTCTATCTCCATTCTATAAAGTCCACACGTATTCGTTGTTCCCAAGATACAGAGAGAAATATGACGTATGCATGCAAGTTGCTGTATTTCACAAAGTCTAAAGAGTTTCTTTTTAGAAGCTTTCAAAATACTTTTACATTGGAACTTTTGAAAGCTAACGAAATAATTATTTGGGGAGGAAGGGCAAAAATATCTCTCATTTCTTACGTTTTTGTAGACTAGGGCTCTCTTTTACTCCACAGAAGGTCAAAAAGCCAGTGAGCACTTGTAGCTTTTCTCTCCACTCCTTACTCACTCTTTCACATTGTAGCGAGTGTTATTATAATACCTATCAGTCCAAATACCATACTCATGTCTGAGACCTCAAATCAGAGAAACATGTCCCATCCCCACACTTCCCGCACGTGGTCAGTCTCAGATGTAGGTAAGAAGACAATGACTCCTGCTCTAAAGTATTTACATGTTAACTCATTTAATTTTTCCAACAACCCTATGAAACACATCTTAAGTTATCTCCTTTTTGTAGAGGAGGAAACTGAGGTATAGAAATGTTAAGTGGTTTTTCATACAATCCCATAACTAGTAGTGATGACAGCAGAAACCACCGTAACTGAGTCAGAGACTCCATCTTTCCTTCCTGAGCCCAAGGGTTTGCCATTTATTAAGTGACCTGGTTTGTAAAATGCCTTAATCCTCTGATACTTGTACTTGCAAAGTTCTTTGCACCCTCAGCTGTACCAAAAGACGATTTGAAAAGGAGGAAATAAATTACTGTAATTTTGACCTTAGGTTGTAGCCACTTTTTACCAAATAGCATTACTGGTAGTTATTGGGCTATTCCAAAATAAAAACAATATTGAAATCTTCATCTTGTACCTTGTATCTGTCTCTTTGCTATGAGACACTGAACAGAAGGAGTTAAGTTGCTCTCCAGGAGTTCCAGAGGTTCCATTGCTATCCAGGTCTTATTTATCTTTATTGGTTTGTTGTTTTGTTTGTTTGGCTTTTATTTAGGCACTGTTTGTTTATTTAATTCATGTTAAACAGTAAATGTCTGTATAGCATTTATAATGGAAGTTAATTAGTATCTTGAATTCAAGTTTTAGATACTGAAGACAATTTTCAGTACATATATAATATTTTATAATACATATAATTTCATTTTTAAATGGAAGCAAATATTAATAGTCTATGTTCTCTGCATAACAAGAGCCAAATAAGTTTTATACTGTTATGCCTTTTTCATAGAATTATATATTAACAGTTGAAGATTGATGCTAGAGAGATTGCTCTTTCACTTAAGAGAATAATAGTAGCACATGATGGAGCCAATATTCCAAGCTATTTGGACACCAAAGTCCACGCAGCATTATCTCAGTGACACAGACTTCCTTTGATCTGTTATTATTCCTTTTAATTACTTCACAATGACATAAACTGCCAAAACCTTCAAAATGCAAATCTTATCTGGAATGCCATAAATACAGATAGTATATTAAAACTTGATAACTATTTGAAATATTTTTATTCATAGTTGAAAAATAATTGTCTTCATTATTGTTTACTTTCTTTCAAGTTTAACTTCCTCCCCTTGAGCTGAAGTAAATATTGTTGACTTAAAATAACAAACAAAATTCCCTGCTGCTTCTCCAGGGTTTGGTAAACACTACATTGCTGTTGTGTGCATGTATTCCATAAATGGTATATTTAATTTCCTGTGGTATTACTACCCATTTATGTGGCTGCTAGTCAATACTTTTCAAGCTTGATGCTTTTCTAGAGAAAATGAATGTTGAACAAAGCATAGAGGAAATCTGTGTAACATTTTTAGAAAGTTATGTTTTGTCACATTTCTAAGGTTATCCAGAAACCTAAGCTATGCTTTTAAAGCAACTTAAAAAATGATAAAACAAGAGAAGACCCTTAATCATTGCAGGTTCCTTTCAAACACCCTCTTACATGACAGAATGCTATTTTTTGTTTTGTTTTTTATTTTTTTCCATCAAAATGCAAACTATGAAACTAGGAGTTGCCACATGGAACAATCCAAAGTCACCAATTAACCCTCAAGGTCTCTAGGGAAAATTCAGGTTTGAGGGGCCTTTTTTGATAACATTGAAGTTTTGGTAAGAAAGATCCGAACAGAATCTGGCCCTAAGCATTATTTGCCCATTCTTTAGTAATTTCAAGACAACTAAAAGTGTTGAAAGGTTATAACTGATACCGATATATTTATGGCTGCAACAGACTAGTCTTCCCTGAACTAAGACCATCACACTATTTCAAATAGGCCACCAAGAACACATTAGATGATCACAGCTTTCAGCCACTCCTGATTTAGGCTGAATTGGAACCAGTGACCTAGAAGCAAATAGTGTCATATTCCATTACTAAATGTCTTAGCCAGTCAGTTACCCTCAGTATTTTTTCCCCCTTAATCATTTTTATTAGCAGCATTCCCATTTTTACCACCAGGCAATTTGAAAGCTCTCAAGTATATGCCCTGACACAAATTATAGCTATTGTTTACACTACCTTCTTATAAAGACAGATTATTCCCTTGTGTGAGATTCACCTTGAATTATGCCAGCTGCTTTCCAATTTCAGTATTTGTTCTTCGTTTATTCTCTGTTGTAGTCTCTGAATGGCATTAGATGTGGTTGGAATGACAAGTGCCTTCTTAGCTCTATAAGTGAAGATGAATTTAAGAAAGAACCAACAGACAAGTGTCCATCATAACTAGGGCAAGCTAGCCCCAGGTGTACAGCTATGTAAATTGGTCCAAATATGCACTTACTGCTTTCATTTGATTTTTTTTTCATTTCACCTCGCGACTTTTAAGTACTCTAGAGTGTACAACGTAAAAAATCACTGTTGTTCCTTCATATTTTATCAATACACTGACGCAAAAATATAAAAACAGGAACTGGTGCTTTTTTTTAACTTTTGATCCTACATATTTTTCTCTTTGGAATGCTTGTCATGTCTACAGTGATCTGTGAAACAGAATGCCTAGATAGAAATGGAAGTACATCAATATTGCTTTAACAGAGAGAGTGCTTCATGAAGACACACAGGTATATAATTAAACATAACAAACATTTCCCAAGGACAGATCTCTCTAACTCAACAAAATAAAACTTGCATTCCTTTGTGCTTTACCCTGAAGACAACTTCATAACTTTGGAGGGTTGTAAAGTGGTTTAGAGGACAATTCTGATAGCTATTTTTAGAAAATAAGAGACATCCAGCTTAGATAGATACCAATGTGTTTAGAGGAAATGGTGTGGAAAATATAAACACTGGAAAATAGTATACTCAGGCAAATGGTTTGTGCTTAGTCTTTGAGGTTTCTTGTTTTCCTGAGTTTTACTGTTGATATTCATTGTAATTTCCTTATGAAGTTAAAAAAAGAGAGAGAGAGAGAGACTCTTTTCTCATAATAAATCAATAAAGAAGGTATAATACAATATTTTATTTTAGGGATAATTTTTATCAACACATTACATCTTTTACTTACAATTCAAGTTTTTTGGGATTGTGATACATAGATATATTGACTCCATAATGTGGTGTGGCTGTGTCCCCACCCAAATCTTATCTTGAATTGTACTACCATAATTCCCACGTGTTGTGGAAGGAACCTGGTGGGAGATAATTGAATCATGGGGGCGATTTTGCCCATACTGTTCTCACGGTAGTGAATAAATCTCACAAGATTTGATGGTTTTATAAAAGGTTTCCACTTTTGCTGTTTCCTCATTCTCTTCTCTTGTCTGCCACCACGTGAGATGTGTCTTTCACATTCCATAATGATTGTGAGGCCTCCCCAGTCACATGGAACTGCAAGTCCATTAAACCTCTTTCTTTTGTAAATTGCCCAGTCTCAGGTGTGTATTTATCAGCAGCTTGAAAATGGACAAATACAGTAAATTTGTACCAGTAGAGTGGGGTGCTGCTAAAAAGATTCCTGAAAATGTGAAAGCCACTTTGGAACTGGGTAACAGGCAGAGGTTGCAACAGTTGGAAGGGCTCAGAAAAATACAAGAAAATGTGGGAAAGTTTGGAACTCCCTAGAGACTTGTTGAATGCCTTTGACCAACATGCTGATAATGATATAGACAACAAAATCCAAGCTGAGATGGTCTCAGGTGGAGATGAGGAGCTTGTTGGAAACTGGAGTGAAGGTGACTCTTGTTATGTTTTAACAAAGAGTCTGGTGACATTTTACCCCTGCCCTAGAGATTTGTGGAACTTTGAACTTGAGAGACATAATTTAGGGTATCTGGCAGAAGAAATTTCTAAGGAGAAAAGCATTCAAGATGTGAATTGGGTGCTGTTAAAAGCATTCAGTTTTATAAGGGAAACAGCATGAAAGTTCGGAAAATTTGTAGCCTGACAAGGTAATAGAAAAAAAAATAAATAAAAACATTTTCTGAGGAGAAATTCAAGCTGGCCGCAGAAATTTGCATAAATAATGAAGATCCAAATGTTAATCACCAAGACAATGGGGCAAATGTCTCCAGGGCATTTCAGAGATCTTCATGGCAGCCTCTCTCCTCACAAGCCTAGAGGCCTAGGAGGAAAAAGTTGTGTTCTGGGCCAGGCCCAGGGCCCCCCTGCTGTGTGTAGCCTAAGTACTTGGCATCCTGGGTCTCAGCCACTCCATCTGTGGCTAAAAGGGGCCGAGGTACAGCTCAGGTAGTGGCTACAAAGGGTGCAAGCTCCACGCCTTCCACATGGTGCTTGGCCTGTGAGTACACAGAAGTCAAGAATTGAGGTTTGGGAGCCTCCATCTAGATTTCAGAAGATACATGGAAACGCCTGGACATCCAGGCAGAGGGGTGCTACAAGGTCAGAGCCCTCATGGAGAAACTCTAGTAGGGCAGTGCGGAAGGAAAAATGTGGGATTGAAGCCCCCGCACAGAGTCCCCACTGGGGCACTGCCTAGAGGAGCTGTGAGAAGAGAGCCATCATCCTCCAGACCCGAGAATTGTTTGCACCACTGTGTGCCTGGAAAAGCCACAGACACTCAATGCCAGCCTGTGAAAGCAGCCAGGAGGGAGGCTATACCTTGCAAAGCCATGGGGGTGTAGCTCCCAAGACCGTGGGAGCCCACATCTTGCATCAGCATGACCTGGATATGAGGCATTGAGTCAAAGGAGGTCATTTTGAGCTTTAACATTTGACTGCCCCACTAGATTTCACACTTGCATGGGGCCTGTAGCCCCTTTGTTTTGGTCAATTTCTCCCATATGGAATGGGAGTATTTATCCAATGCCTGTACAGCTGCTGTATCTAGGAAATAACTAACTTGCTTTTGATTTTACAGGCTCATAGGCAGAAGGGATTTGCCTTGTCTCAGATGATACTTTGGAATGTGAACTTTTGAGTTAATGCTGAAATGAATTAAGAGTTTGGGGGTCTGTTGGGAATGCATGATTGTTTTTGAAATGTGATGACATGAGATTTGGATGGGGCAGGGGCAGAATGATATCGTTTGACTGTGTTCCCACCCATATCTCATCTTGAATTGTATTCCCATAATTCCCACTTGACATAGGAGGAAACTGGTGGGAGATAATTGAATCATGGGGGCGGTTCCCTCATACTGTGCTCATGGTAGTGAATAAGTTTCACGAGATCTGATGGTTTTATAAGGGGTTTCCACTTTTGTTTCTTCCTCATTCTCTTCTCTTGTCCACCACCATGCGAGATGTGCCTTTCACATTCCACCACGATTGTGAGGCCTCCCCAGCCACGTGGAACTGTAAGTCCATTAAACCTCCTTATTTTGTAAATTGTCCAATCTCAGGTATGTCTTTATCAGCAGCTTGAAAACAGACTAATATACTCCACAGTGTGCATTTCTTAGGGTCCTTCAAAAGTGAATGTTAAAGCAAGGATTGGGACACAAGTGTATAATATATTGGGAGGTAATCTAAGTGAGCACATTGAAGGAGTGAACAAGTGAGGACTAAAAGGGAGAGAAGCCAGTAAAAGTTGCATTAATAAGTGGGTTGCTGTTATGGAAAACTCCTCAGTTCTTTCCAGGACCTCTAAGAGATTCTGTAAAAATATTTCACCATGAGAGGAATAAATAGAGCTATATAGCTACTCACTCCTGCTATTCCTTGGTGGAGAGGAAATCCTGGTGGCAGTAACTTCCTGCCAAGTAGAGTCCCAGGGCCAAAACGTGGCCCAAGGTAAAGAGAGGCAGAAAGCTGTGGGTGTGAATAAAATCTGCACGCCAATGACTTCAAAGGTGGACTGAGGGAGGTGGGAGGGGAACTCACTGTCTCATCTACAATGTATATGTAAAAACCTAAAGCAAAAGAGAGCAATGCTAAGATGGATTTTAGTTTTTAAAAATGGAGAGAGCATTTGTCAGAAGTTATAAAAGACGTTTATCAGCTCTGATTTTCCCAATGTCACCATCTCTATCAACTTAGAGATACTGGAAGTACTTGCAGTTTTGATGGATAACAAATCCTCTCTAAAGAAAAAATGCTCTCAAACACTCTCTTCTTTACTACATGTATTAGCAGTGTGATGTTTGCTACTCACTAAAGCTTGACTCTTGTCAAGCTGTCAAGTGCTATTTTCAAAGGTATTTTATTTTGTAGAAATGTAGGACTTCAGGTTCAGGGGAGGTGTTCAAGAGTCCAGGGTGTCATTTCCTATCTTAGGAGTTTACGAGGACTCTGAGCTATTGAACAGGTAGGACTGCTTGCTCTTGAAGGTTAGTTCTGAAAGGGTTGAGCAATGTTTGAAGGCTGTGGCAGGTGTTACTTCTACTGTGTGACTGAAGAGGAACATTCTAGTTTCTGTGAAAGGGAAGTCCTTTTTAAATAATGTTGACAAGAAATACTAATATATCCCCCTCTGCACTGGTGATGTGGTGTAGATGCTCTTGGGATGGTCTAGGACTCTGGGTTTGTCTCCCATGTGGCTCCTTGGAAACTTGCAATGGGGGGTTGTGACTTCAATAGAGAACAGATAGTTCCTCATTGCTGAATTCAGTCATGTCTACATGGTTCTTTTTCTCTGTTACACCAAGACCTGCATACCTGTATCTCTGTTTTTCCCCTTAGTCATCTGAATTTTTATTTCTTGGGAATGTGCAGGAGGAGGGAGTCTGTCACTACTGCTTTTTATTCCAGTCGATGTTTATGGCATAAACTTTTTTCCTAGAGATTTTAGAGCTTAGACATTTTGAGCTCACCTAGTATAGCTCTTGCAAATCAGGAACATTGACTTTAAAGTCTATATTTAGAAAATAAAAATACCAAGAAAAGTTCTACTTGGTTTCAGATTCTGCTGGGGCATCTATTTCCTGAGATAGAACCATCAGAGTAGCCCAGCTAGCTGAGCTGCAGGTAGGACCACTGGATACTAAAAAAGGACAATTATAAATAATATTTCAGAGCTTAATACTCCCATAAATATACCTGTAACCTGGATAATAATAAGCAATCTATATATACATTATAGAGAATATGTAATAATAATAGCCATGAATAAATAGTAATATATTGAAATTGTTTTGGTTGGAAGTTTTAATTTCTATGTGGTTAAGCTGCTAATATAATTTAGATTTCAATTTTATTTTAATGAGCCAATAATGTAACTTAAATATGTATTTGAAATAATAGCTCACATATAACTTTGATAAAAAGCAGTGATTGATATTTCACAAATATATTTCCTTACTTATGAGTTCAAGATAATATACAGGTTTACAAATTGGTTTTAGCCATGCTAAGTTATATACAGAATATATGGCTTCTTAATTTTTGTACTAAATTACCTGGTCTTCCTCAATACCTTCCCCCACCCACCCACACACACAAACACACACACACACACACACGCAATGGTAGTGAAACAATACTAAACTTAATATAATATAATGTGGCTTATCCCCCAATTTAAGCGATGTCTTCAGTTGACTTATTCTCTTTTGGATGAATTATAAAGCTTTAAGAATGGTTTCACCTTCCCCTGTCTCTATGTTCCTATTGTTTCTTTCTGTGGTGACATCTGCATGTGTATGGATGTGTGGCTTCTGTGATGGGAAGAAAGAGGGCAAGAGAGAGGAAGCCGTTCGATCCAGGCAGGTTCTCCGGATCCTCACTGACTTCCACTTAAGTATGACTGATCTGTGCTGAAAACCAGAATGTTGACACCTGAAGTTCCACTGCTCTGCCCTTTGGCATTCTGCAAGGGTTTTCTGGTAGAAATCCCAGGATGTATATCTCAGACTGATTCTAATTCCTAAAAGTATGGCAGGCTGACCAGGTACCAGGATTGATGCTTCTGGAGCTATAGACCACCTGAGATGTGCCTGTGATCCTCTGTGTGTCTGAGCCAGGTTGTCAGCCATTTAACACTGCTCCACTTCACTTTGCCTCTTCTGTGGCAAACTCCTTAGTCAAGGCACTCAGGCATATTATTAACGAACTCCCTTACCATATGCTGAGATGTCTTCTGAGTTTTGTCTACTCCATGGAAAACTTATTAAACTCAGGGCCTCTCTCTATCCAGTAAGCTGGACCACTGCTTATATGACTTGTGTGAGAAGTGTCTATGAGATATGTTCCCTTCAGAGTCCAAAAAAGAAAAGGAGAAAGCCTCTTTGCCCTCAGGATCTTTCAAATAGACATAGATGTTTCTGTTGATTTCTGGCTTCTTCAGGTTACAGAGTTACAATGTTAGATACAAACATTTCTGTACCAACAAAAGAGGTGGCAAGCTATCAGAACTTGTTATTCTAGAATTCAAACTCAACAGATTTAAGGAATGAATCTGTCTGGTTCATCGCTTTACCACATCAAGAGTGTATGTATTTGTTGAATGAGCGAATGACAAAAGCTTATGATTTGCTAAAATTGCTCCTGAATGCCACAGGGCTTTTCTTTTGCAGAGACAACGGAGGTCACTTGTGTCACAGTTTTCTTTGTTTGAGTGTGGGATATGTTCTTCATGGGTTGTTTCACTCAAATTACCTTTAAGATGTTGAAGAACCAGCAGCCTTGTTTTGAAAGCATCTCCAACAACAGAAACTGAAAACAGCCCCGACCACAGCACTTGCATTCATCACTGCCAGTGGTACTTTCAGAGCTTTTGTCATTCGCTGTAGGTGCCTAATATGCAGACATGTGCTTCTTCAAACTCAGGAATGGGCAGCCACCAGGACAATGTCTACAGAATGACTGTGCACACTGGTAGTCTCACAGGGCATCAGCTGTGCCAATAGAACCGTAACAGCTGGTCTTTACCTCTCTGCAGCACTGTGATGACCATTGTCAGTACAATTGCACTGTCACTAGCAGCAGCAACAGAGTAATACATGCATATGGCAAGCTAGAAGAGAAAAAGGGGAAGCTGGGAAGCTGTGTGGAAGACTGAAGGACTGCTTTGTAATTATCAGTGGCTTTGGAGAGGAATCTGAGTTTCCTCAGAGAAGGTGAGAGAAAAGGTAGAACAATCTTTATGTTTTGTGTCCATAATTGTGACCATGCTTTAATTTAAAAAATAAAGGATGAAGTGGCCTAGAAATCTAGAAATCTTGATGTGTGTGTGTGTGTGTGTGCGTGTGTGTGTGTGTTCAGGAATAATTTGGTGGCATAACCAACACACATCAAAATCTGCGCTCTGGCACCATTTTTACTTAGGTAAGTCTTAGGAGCCTTTGTAATTACTGCAGCTTTCCAAGATTCTGTTTCCTTATTTTAATTGAAGATATCAATACCTGCCCTGCTTACCTCACATCCCTGTTGTGAGAATGAAACAGTGCTTACAAAAGTGTTTGATGAATTATACACACTTTAAAATCAAAGAACTATTGTTTTCCAAATTAATTTCATGAATAATTTATTGAATAGTTTGGTAAAAAGGAAGAAAGACCCAATGAAACTAGCTAAAGAAAAATGAAATGGCATTTTCTGAATATAGCAGGTTCACAGATCTCAAAGGCCAGAAGATAATCAAAGCCAGGCCTCATGTGAATAGGAGCTAGAAATGGAAACATTAAGGATTGAAGTTATTCTCTCCCTTCTCTGGGGTTATGTGATTTCTCTCGGTGCTTCTGCTTTCTGTGAGTCTATCCCATCCGTCTCTCCCTTAACTGTTTCCCTCTGAGGCTTTTCTCCCTCATAACCTCTCATGCACAAAGCCTCATACTTGTCAGTGCAGTTCTAACTCTACTTCATTTCATTTCTTTCTTTCTTTCTTTTTTCAACTCAAGCACACACTTCCCACTGTAACTCTTTCCTCTCTATTGTTTCAAATTTCTGAGACAGAGATCTGATTAACCCTGCTCAGCATAATGAAGGATGGCACAAAAATGATGAGTTATCTGTCAGTCAGTCTGTCCATTAGCCTTTTTAAATCGGAGGTTCTCAGCTATCCAATTACCGGGGCCCAGAGCAATGTGGTCAAGTCATCCCCTGTCTACTTGTGGGTGGCTATGGGAGGTGCAAGTTATTTGAGAAGAGGTTAGGGTAGAACACATAGGAGCAAAAACTGAACTCAGTCAGACTCTAAGAGGGAAGCAACGGAGTAACACAGGAACACTGTATTGTATACTGGGTATAATGAGTAGAGTTATAGAAGGAGAGTACAGGCAAAGAAAAGTTAGAAAAAAGAAGAAAAGGCTCCACCAACCTTAGAATTTTGACTAGGTCTGCCTCTGAATACTATCATTTGTGTTGAATAGTTAATTATTTGATGTTTTCCTGATGATAATGAATAATTATACTGATATATGTAAATGAGGCATAAATAATATTCAAACTTTGTATTGAAATTTATAAAGGACTGTCACACTTTGATGTGGTAGCATATTTGCCCTCCAAATGATTTTCTATTTAAATGAATCTACATTTATTGAGTATTCACATTCGTAAGCTTTTGTGAGTTAAAGAACTCACACTTTTTCTGGGTGGGTAGAAATTCACACACAAAGGACTAGCCACTTACCATGCCACTGAAGTGGCATTTGATAAAAAGATGATAAAAACTTACACGTGATTTTATTTTCTAACAAGCATTTAACATTGATTTCTTTTCTTGTTTTTTTTTCTTCTTCTCTTCTGAAATATCCTTAAGGTTTTTGTCACTGAGGTACTTTGATTGAAGAGAATTTTACCCTTGTTGCTTTGCACCTCTAAGTTGAGACCAGGTCCCATTGATTACTTTTTGGTTGACAAATGACACAAATGTTAGTTATCCTTTCTGTCTTTGTATGTGAAGCTCAGATGTATTATATCATTGTACAAAACTGCATATGAAATCAATACACTCGAGGAAAATGGCTATAAAACCACAATTCTTTAAGTCAAGGGAAAGTAAATTGCTTGTGCTACCCAGATAGTTTGGGATTTGTTGCCTGTTTCTACAAGAGAGATTTTCTTTCCAATAACTTCTGGCTCAAGAATTACAGTTAGTAACCATCAGCCTAAAAGTCTGATGCATTAATCTTTATATATGTTCCTTTCCATTGTATCTTACTTTATTTATGGAAATCATTTTGCTAGAGTAATACCATAGCTATACAACTTGTTTTCATGAGAAATTGAAATTTTAAAAAATAAATAAAAATAAAACTAGCGATGAAATACCCTTTGAAAAGTACCCTGAAGAAATTACTATTTATTGGGTTTGATAAATGTTTTTCGAATTTTCTAAGAGGTTAGAAGTTTGGCTGTATTTATAAATCATCACTTAACACTCTAGTGATTTTTTTGAAATATAACATTTTGAACTAACACTTCCTTTGTTCTAATCCCAGACTCATCTAACGGTTTGTATCTTGTCCCATTAATTTGTCATAGAGTAACACTCATGAGAACTTACCACAAAGCAAAACATGTGAATATGACAGGAGAGGTTTTTCAAAACTGTATTTCATCCCAAAATCTTTAAAAGAGTCAAAAAAAATAAACAATATTCAATTAAAGCTGTGATTGTAAAAAGGTTGTCCATACAAATTTGAGTTTATTTTATTAAAATTTCAAATGTAAAAATTCTCAATGCAACAAACTTCTTGATTAATTTCTTGATAGTCTCTAATACATTTCCAGCTGCCATAAATATCTTTTCACTAAGATGTTCATTGCTCCAATCACCTCCACTTTTGGACTCAGCAATGAGATTTTAATTAAAACATGCTGAGTAACTTTCATGAGTAAAGACTCTAATCTATATTGGCCTAGGACTTAAGTCATAAACTTTTCTATCAGATGGCTTATCAATGCTCCTGATATTCTTTCTTATTATTAAAAATGAAATATAATATGTTAGAATTGATTTTATTTGTTTAATTTCTATTAAGTATATTATTAATTATTTATCAAATTTAAAGATGGATTCACAGTTCTTGAAAGAAATGTATTATTAGATGCTGAAGTCCAGAGACCCTCACCTTCAGGAATGATCCTATTATTTAAATGAGAAGAAAGTAGCAATAATCAAAGTTAACAATTCGAACAATGTTTAAATTGAAACAATTGCTCAAATTTATTTAGAGCTTACTAAATTCTGAGCATATTGTAAGTTTCCAATAATCATCTTTTTGTTTAATATATAGTAATTCTATATAAATAGTATTTTTCTCTCCATTTTACAAGTAAAGAAACAAACAAACAAAAAAAATCAACATTTTATTCAAGGTTATACAGCAAGAAAGTAGAGAATCCAGGATTTAAAGCCAAATTGTCGATAATTAGAGCCCGTGCACACTCCTCATACGTTTCTCTAGTTAGGGAAAGGCAGGCTGTAGCAACAGGTTATAAATCCTTTTATTTTGTTGTATTTATTGTCTGCATATGATAAAGTTTAATTTCCTGCCACTCCATATTTGGTATACAGAGAGCTCATCTTATTTTCCAGAAGTACCTGAGCACATTCCCTCTGCTCTAAGTAGGAGAAAAGGCCTGAATTCAATCTAGAATATGGTAGCCATTCTACCCCAACTCTGATGGTTAGTGTCTGTTCCCCCATATTCATTCTGTCCTTCTCTGCCCTACTGTATTCCCCAAAAGCTCCCTTGCCCTCTAGATTCTTGTTGGACTTGGCAAATGGAAGAAATCAGCTGGAGATTGGAAGTCTGAAGGAAAGCGAATCTAGGATATTTATTCAAACCCTTTTCTTCTTGATCAGGAGTACTGTTTTGGCAGTGCCTCCCTTTCCATGACTTTACCTTGTACCCAGTTCCCTTAAGGACACAACTTTCACTTGCCACTGCAACTCTAAGGACAGTAATTCCTTCATCTCATTCTCAGTTCTGAAAAGCATCATTTTATTAAACTCCCTTCAATTTTCCCTTTGAGCATGCATCCTGTTCCTTCTTAAAATTCTAATTAATGTATAATCCTTGAGTGTCAATCAGAAAGCTTCTTTCCAGTGAGTGATTATTTGTGTTGGCTGATATGATCAGACAGCAAAGAAAGAACAAATGCAAATTCTTTCTGGACAGTGCAAAAGAGATCTGGAAAAGATTCAGCAATGTATAAATCACCAACTCCACACAGGCAAGCATACTTGAATCTGATTCTGGTCAGCAGCCATAACCAAGAGGTGTGATCCATGGGATCTGAGACTTGGCTTTCTAGGGATGAGCTTTCTAGGAGGTGGAACTTCTATTAGAGTAAAGGATATCCATGTTGTTGATTGAAAGGTAATCAATCAAGATAAATTGAGAAGTATTAAAAGTGATTAGGTATAATGTCTGTGCTAACTATGCATATTGATATGGTGCTCCATTCACCCCAGGCACAATGGATACAAGAAAACACCTTCACATCACGTCTGGGCAATGTGTTTCCAATCTGGAATCAAGTCCTTTTTTTTGTTTGTTTTTTAAACTCAGGGGTGGATGTGGCCAAATCTGCCAAGAACACATTATTCTTGATGGAAATAGGGCAGGAGCAATCAAAGACTCTTGTCAGGAGTGTAGCTGTTTTCAGCTGAATGGAGAGAACCAAGAAGCATTCCTCTATGGTTGATCCTATACCCAGTGGGAATTCACACTTTTAACAATGAGCTTAATGAGAGAATGCCAATGACACTGAACTAAAGAGTGTGAGGATGATATTCAAAGAAAACAAGAATGTCCCAAATGACCCAAAAAACACATTCTGCAACCATATAATAGCATTCATTAAGTAAGGTTCAGTGCAATATACTTAACTGGAAGAAAACCAACCTGTTCAATAAAAAAAATCAAAACATTGTTCTCAATTAATAAAATTGATAGCCAATGTATACCATTAGCTAATAAAATTCTTTAATGGCTTCTAAATTAGAATGATATAAATAGTTTATAAATCATGTAAAGAGCAGAAATATAATATCTTCACTTAAGATGATTGCAAAAACATCTCATTAACCTATTGTTAAAGAAAAAACATTCCAAAACTTAGCGGTTTAAAACAACCATGTATTAATTCATGATTCTGTAAGTTGGTGCTTTGTCATTTGAGTTTTCTTTTTTCCCCTCAGCAATCTTTTACTCTCTAGGAGACTATCTAAGGCTTTTTCGCTTGGTTATAAGGTGTTCTTATATGTTATAAGAGGGTTACAGTAGAATTTGCAAGTATCCTTGAGGCCTAGATCCAGAAATTGCATAGCATCAATTCTACCACATTGTATTAGTCCAAGAAAATCTCAGAGCCAGCTCAGATTAAGAGGAGTGGAAATAGATTTTATCTTTTGATGGAAAGTGTGCTAGTCACATTGCAAGGAAGCATGCATACAGGTAGTAGGAATTATCTATAGCCATCTTTTGCAATTCACCATAGATAGATATATAGATAGATGTCAGATATTAATCATTAAAATCATTTATTTATACATAATTGAATAGAATTTTTATTCAATAAAGTATTAATTCTTGAATGATATCCAGTCAAAGGACTGAACTTTTAGGTTTTCTATTCATGTATATCCAAAGATGGGAAATATATTCAAGTTCCTTTTTTCCAAGATATACAAAACTAAAACTAATCCCAAAGCTATTGTTTCTTATTTTACATTTATGAACCTATACACTAGTCTTAATGCTTTCTAGTTAAGTGGAAATAATTAAAACTAAAATACTTAAAGAAAACTGCAAATGCAAGTTAAATTATAGTTAGTTAAGGTTAACGTGTTTTCTTCGGTTTCTTAAGAAATAATTAAAACAATTTAATGATGGAAAATTATATTTGTAAAAGGTGATATGTAGTTAAAATCCATTAAAAAATAGATTATGGATCACACTTAGAAGTACTTATAATTTATTAACTTCCAGCTAGTTATCTTGTTCTGTGCTCCCAGCAAATGGCATCTTTTGCTTGCCACGTTGTTTCTTCCTCCCTGTTCTTTGGATTGCTGTCACTGGAGCCAGAGGTTAACAGTGGAAGATGTTCTTCTAATGACAACATTTGCTTGCACTGTAAAATTTGCTATGCATTGGTGGCTCTTTGCTTTTAGTTAAACTTTAATAGTGGAGAAATGAGATGCAAGTGTGGCCTTTATGGAAGGATATATTGTCTTCATAGGAAAAAAATGTGTCAGGACATATATATGCATGAGGTTAAATAAAATCAGAGTCATTTAAACATTTATTTTCATGAATGTTATACATTGGAAGGAATTAAACAAATTTATAAAATGTGTATTTTTGCTGTGAAGAGAACCTGTATGAAGAAAAGGTTCATTATGAATATGATTGTTGTTATATTTATCACAGAGTCTTGACAACAAAAATGTATTGCATGTCACTGAAACCTAGCACCTTCCATAAGGATTTCTGCTTTAGCCTTGCCCTAGGAGAGGATACCTATATGGCTACTCTCGGTATGAGAGGAATAGGCTTCTCTGTAAACGTTGAGTAACATGTTGATTTACACTTCACCCAGTGGGAAAAAAAAATGGGGAAAAATCTGTGATGTAGGTTATGGTGTCTCTAAGACAAAGAAAAACTGCTCTCTGTGGTTGATGTTAACCTCCAGTTTCATAGAAAGGAATCTAAGAAGGAGGAGAAACTAGGCTAAATATTAGGGGTGTCTCTTTATCTGGTGAATCTCTTTATGATGCCCCAAATGATGGATGTTTGGGGAAGATTTAGAGTCCAATGTTTATATAAAGTAAAATTCATCTATCTGGATAATCTGTTTAGAGTATTTTTGTTTTTGTAAACAATCCAAATAATTGCCTGGACTATTGACTTATGTATAATTTTTTAATATGATGGTTTATCATGACAGTTTCTATGGAAAACAGAAATTTGGATTTTGTGTGTGTGTGTTCTATATTTTAGAGGTCAGAAAGTGGGTACTCCAATGACATGAGGTTAGGATGCTAAATTAATTAATCAAGTTTCTCACATTTAATAAATGAAATAAAACAGTTGTACACAAAATGACTTTCTGGAGACTAGTTATATGACTATTGTTTATTTCATTTTCTAGAAATAAAATATTCTTAGGGGACAAAAAAGCAAAATATATCTTCCACCTTATAGAGAAAACATGACAAACTTGCATGTCTATTTCACAACATTTACTTGTGAAACTAAATCTTGAAAAGCTATGTGCTTAGATTTGATTCCAACCCAGACTTCAGTACCTACAATTTGAACTACTATTCAACAGTAACTTGGTTTATATTTGTAACATCAAAATTAAGAATACTTTTTATGGTGAAAGTTGCTCTTTCATGTTGAGTATTAGATTTAACTACGTGTCCCCTCATTTACATGTGTGGTTTCTGAATTTATTGATCTTATGTATTTATTTATTTATTTGACAGAGTCTCTCTCTGTTGTCCAGGCTGGACTGCAGTGGCACAATCTCAGCTCACTGCAACCTCTGCCTCCCGGGTTGAAGCAATTCTCTGCCTCAGCCTCCCGAGTAGCTGGGATTACAGGTGCCTGCCACCACGCCCAGCTAATTTTTTGTATTTTTAGTAAAGATGGAGTTTCACCATCTTGGCCAGGCTAGTCTTGAACTCCTGACTGCATTATCCACCAACCTCGGCTTTCCAAATTGCTGGGATTACAGGCATGAGCCACCGCACCTGGCCTGATCTTTTTTCTTTCTATTGGTATCAAATACTTGAGGGAAATAAATAAGTTTTAAAGAGGAATTAGGAGGATGGTCCTTGCACATACTTATAGAGAGAAATTTCAGCTTTAAGGAATAGGAAGAAAGTAGAAAAGATTAAAATTAACATAAAAATAAAGTAAGCTACCGATGTCAACCCTCCTGTTGCATATATTAGTTAAGCCTTTTGTTCCTAAAGTGTTTTCTGGGAAAAAAAAAATGTCTTAATGGAGCTTCAGGAACAAATAACAAATAAAAACCAGACAAAAGAAAACATGTTATGGTGAAATCAATTTTGAGAAATTGCACATTTTATTCACCATTAGAGATTCATGCATAAACTCACACGTTGAAGCTGTCAAAAGTGTTACAGAAAAGAAACTCATCTTACTATTAGCTCAGCATTTTCCAAATATTTTATCATCATGGAACACCTTTTTCTCATAACAGCTATTAATATGCTAAAGCAGAAATGTTTCTCTGGACACTTGGGAAATGATCAGAGACAATAAAAATGTATTAGCCCAAATAATTAAAATCAGATATTTTAGAATAAAGTTTCATAGATTCTGATTATTTAGAAGCAAATTCATTTTAAGGTTGTCAAAATTTTATCCCTGGAGTGTAAAAGTATTGACTGAATTTATGATTCATTCACAGCAACCCAAGAGAATAATTTTAACAAGAGCAATTAAGTCAGATGCATGAATTCATCTTACGAAAAAAAACCAAAAAAAACAAAACAAAAAAAACACTATTTTTGGTAAAGGAGCATTTTAAATAATATCATGGTAGTTTAACCAATAGTTATTCTAGATTGATTCTGGGAAAAATAATAGATGTATAAGGAAATTTAGACCATCTATTTTAAATCGTCAAAATATGTGTATGATTTAGCTTTCCCTATACTATCCATGGCTTTTCTTTAGACAACCAGAAGGAACTATAGGTAGAATAAAGAATTTCAGATGCACTAAGAGTTGAATTTTATATCCATTTCATTAATCTATTTAATTTAAATCAATTTACATTTTTTGAGTGCCTACTATATTCCATTCTCTATGCTTGGCTTCATATTAGTTTGTTCCCTCTGTTTGACTTGACATTGACTCATTCCATTCTAACATCAGCACTCAGAATTAGTTATTATTTTCAATACAGACAAGAAAGCGAAAGTCCATAGAAGTAAACTGACTTCTTGAATACCTCATAGTAAATGGTAGAGTCGGAATATAGACCCCAGGGTTCTTGTACTTTATCTGAGGAAAGGTCCACATAATCACAGTATCCCTCTAATGCTTTCTATTATGTGAGAGCTCTTGGAGCACTGTTGCAAAGAATGCATGCTCCAGTGACAAACTGGGCTCTGACTCTGTCACTGCTGTTTATCATGTGTGACCTTGGGAATATAAGTTAATTTCTTTGGACATAGTGTCACATTCATTAAATGGGAATAATCATTAAGAATATTGAGTTAATAAATGTACAGCACTTAAAACAGCACATAGCACAAAGTAGATGTTCTCTTAATGTTAGCCAAAACAATCTTAATGGTTTTGGAGTTTTTCCCTATTTATTTTTTTTATTTGGGAATCAGTTAGTTATTTCTTCTTTTTTCTTTTTTTGTTTTGAGGTTTTCATTTATTTACCCTTCTATTCTCTTCCAGTGATATAATTCTTTTATTAATGCACAAGACTCATTAAGTATTATATTGACTATTCTGTTTAAGTCTTCTTGAAAATCTCTTGCAGAGCATCCTTTTTTGAGAGTGAGGAAGAAACTCTCTTTATCATTCTAATATTTTCCTTTTCTTCTCATTTGTGCTGAAACCCATGACTTTTACTTTAATATTTACTCCCTTGATTTGCTGAAATACATCCTTCAATGGCTTTCCAAAACAAGTGAATTAAAGGTAAACTTTTAAAACATTACCTGTATCCTGTATTAAAAAGTCTATATTTTACTTTTACATTTGAATTATAGTTTAGCTTGTTTAGATTCTAATTTGAAAGTTATTTTTCACTAAAATATCTCTGTTGTATTCTGGCTTCCAATGCTGCTACTAAAAAGTTCAATGTAGTTTTTATATTGACTAGTGCCTTCTGGATCATTCTATCCTTGTTGTAATGATATGCCTCTGGCTTCATTTTATCCCATACTAACCTCCCCAGTAAACAGTTTTCTGTTTCTCTCTTGAAAAAGTTTTCTGTTAGTTTTCTCTCTTGAAAAAGTTTTCTCTCTTGAAAAAGTCCTTTAATTCTGCCATGTGGTCAGGTTGAGAGTTCTTTGAATGCCTGAGTTTTGTTTCACTTTCAATTATAAATTCCACCTTTAAATTATTTCTTTCTTTTCATGTTTTGCTATATGCAGTTAAAAGTACTCATGCATCTCCTTCAATATTTTGCTTAGAAATTTCTTCTGCCAGATATCCTAGTTTACCACTCTTAAATTCTACCTTCTATAAAGCTGTAGGACAGAAATAAAATTCTGCCAAATTATTTACCGTTTTATACCACAAATGGCTTTAACTTCAGTTTCCAATAGCGTATTTCTCATTTCCAGCTGAGATCTCATCAAAATTGCCTTTACCACACGTATTTCTACCAACATTCTGCTCACAACTATTTAAGTAATCTCTAAGAAAAATCAGACCTTCCCTACAGGTTCTTCTCTTCTTCTGAACCCTAATCAGAATTGCCCTTAATGCTCCATTCACAGCAATATAGGCTTTTTTCAGCATTCACTTCAAAACTGTTTAGGCCTCTACCCATTACCAAGTTCCAAAGCTGCTTTTGCATTTTCAGTTATTTTTTATAGCAGCAGCCCCACTTCTCAGTACCAATTTTCTGTCTTAATCTGTTGTGTGCTGCTGTAATGCAGTACCACAGATGGAGTAATTTATTACTCAGCTAACACAGAAATACTTTGTTAAGTCATAGTTCTAGAGGCTAGGAAGTCCAAGATCTAGGGGCTGGCATCTGGCAAGAGCCTTCTTTCTGCATTGTCCCATGGTGGAAGAAGGGCAAAGAGAGAGTGAGAGAGAGAGAGGCAAAAGGAGGGCAAGCTTGCCTTCCTTTTATAAAAGGTTTTTTTTAAAACCTTTTATAAAACCTTTTAAAAAAGGTTCCTCCTTTTATAAGGAACCCACTTCTGAGATAACAGACTTCCATGTTATCTTCCATGTCTTGCTCATATACTGCCATAATGGCATTAATCCATTCACTTCACACTTGTGACCTAATCATGTCTCATAATTAAGACCCCACCTCCCAACACTGTCACATTGGGGATTAAATTTCCAACACATGCTTATTGGAGGACACATTGAAACCACAGCACTATTTTTATAGCTCTTGTTTCATGGAACAATGTATTTTCTTATCTCTCTAAAGATACCATTGGTATACTTTTTCTGTTTTTATTTTGAAAATAAAACAGATTTACAGAAAAGTTTCAAATAGTATACAGAGTTCTCATATATCCATACTCAATTTCCTCTAGTGATACCATCTTGTATAACTATAGTACAATGATCAAAACTAAGAAATTAACATTGTTACAATACATAAACTAAACTACAGACTTCATTCGTGTTTTATAAGTTTCTTTTTTTTTTCCTTTCTCTAACGCCCTTTATCTCTTCCAGGATTCCACATTGCATTTAATCATTGTGTCTCTTTAGTGTCCTCTAGTCTGTGACAGTTCCTCAGTCTTTCCTTGTCTTCATGACCTTACTCTTGAAGAGTATTGATCAGTTTTTTTCTAGCATATCATTTAATTTAGATCTGTGTTATATTTTCCCATGAATAAATTAAGGTTGTGGATTTTGGGGAAGAATATAAAAGTTATGTGCTGTTCTGAGTATGTCATATCAAGGATACCTGATGATGATATGTGCTATCACTGGTGATATTTACCTTGATCACCTAGATAAGGTGGTTTCTGCCTGTTTTATCCCAATTTTAATGTATATTTTCTTTTGTAGTTAATAAATATTTTAAGAAAGATATCTTAAGACAGCATATGCCACGTTTCATCTCAAAAGTTTGCACCCTAAGTTTAGCTTCCGTTGGTGGATATTGCTTACAATAATTATTGTTGTGTCTGTGATTTTTATTTTCTGTGTGCCTTCTACATTTATTAATTGGAATAATTACATTATTCTGTTTGAAAGGGATTTCTCCTTACAATCCCTACAACATATTTTTATTTACTTATTTATTTAGTTACTTATTTTATATTGATATGGATTCATGACTGTTGATTTTATAATTCAGTACTATCTTTATTTTCTTGCTCAATTGTTTTCATTTTAGGGACTGATTCAGATTAGTTTCAGTGACCATCCAACTTACGTCTACATGTTTTTTAGCACTTAGTTACTCCAGAAAGTACACAGACACCACAACAAGATGTTCCAGGCTTATCTTGTATTTATGCTGTTCCAGCCTGGAATCAGCTACTTTTCCCAGAAACTCTGGTTTCTGATTTATTGAACCATAATTTTTAGAAACTACATTGTGGTTCTCAGTGTGCTCATTACTATTTGGGTATTATTGCTTCTAGGACTTTACACACATATATACACATCTATATTTACATACATATTTAGTTGTACTTATCTTTTTAAAATACTCATACAGCTTATATTGACATCTCCAATTCTAATCCAGCTCCACTGGGTCCATGTAGCCTTTCCCCTTTCCTTATTTGTAACTACATTCTCCAAAACTGAGAAACATCTTTCAATCTACATTGTCTACAATATATTCATTTATTTGGTCAACACTACTCTGTATTTAAAGTAGTTCCAGAACTCTAACTGGACTTCCTTTGAGAAACAAACTTCTTATCTAGAGTACAGTATTTGTGCACAGTTTTTCTTTTTGTTATTAGCCTTATGGAACCCAGTTAAAATGCTGTTTTCCAATGTAACTTACTGTATTCATTTCCTGGGATTACTATAATAAAGTAACAAAAACAAGGTGGTTTAAAACATTTAAGAAATTCATTGTCCCACAGTTCTGAAGGCTAGAAGTCTGAAATCAATATGTCTGCAGGCCATGCTTTCTCTGATGACTCTAGGGGACAATCTTTCCTTCCTTCTTCTAGTTTCTGGGGTTCCTTGGCTTGTAGGTGCATCACTCTAGTCATATTGCTGTCTGATTTCTGTATATAGTCACATTGTCTTCCCACTGTGTGTGTGTCTGTCTTTGTGTCCAGATTTCTTCTTTTTGGATTGGATTAGGACCCACACTAATGACTTCATTTTAAATTGATTGCCTCTGCAAAGAGCTATTTTCAAATAAGTTCATAGTCACAGGCACCAGGGGCTTCAAACATTAACATATCTTTTTGGAGGCACCCAATTCAACCTCTTCAGTATGGTTATATTATTCATATGTTATATAATTAGATTTTATTTGTTACAGTTTATATTCTCCTTTGGCTCCACTGACATCCTGGTGATATTTTTAAAACTTGCATATAATTGTTTATTCTTAGTGCTATTTATTCTTAATGCTGTATAGTTGTGCAGGTTTTGACAAATACACAATGTCGTTTATACACAAAGTCATTTATTTATCACCACAGTCATGCTGCAGCGCAGTTCCATTACCCTTCCACTGAATTTCTGCAGCCCTCCACAGTCTCTAATAATTTTTTGAAGTGTTATTTTCCCTATATTGACTATCTCTTCCAAGGTTTTATTTTCGTTTTGTGCTTCTGTTTGTTTTAGCTTCTGTCTTTGATATTAAAGGGTTTCCTAAAGTGTGGTAAATTTTAGTCATCTTCTCACATCTAAGAGTGAGACAACCCAAAACTGATTTTGCGTTTTGTGTGTGTATGTGTGTGTGTGTGTGTGCATGTGTGTGTGAGAGCTGGGTGATGCTGGTAAACTTGGGCCATTCCTTTGGGAGAAATACTGAGGGTAACACCATTTCTCTTGAGCTAGTCCTATTTTTTAGACAAAGCATTTCTAAATTCATGCTGAAAATAAGTCTTATTCTACTCCAAATTCTATTTGGCCTCTTGTATTTATGCCAAAAGAAAAAAAAACTTGATAGTATATCACTTTTGTATAGTTTGAGGAAGAAATGAAAGTCAGTTCATGAATTCAAACTACTATCTTTAACAAGAAGTCTGTAATTTTTTGCTATACATATAATTAAAGCTTTCCTCAAATTTTTGTTTACAGGAAGCAAAATTTATGGAGGAAAGAACTCAAATGTTGAAAACAGGGACAAATGTGGGTATGCAATCTGACTTCATGTGACTTTAGCTGCAATGTGGATGACAGAGAAAGATGAGGCTGAAAAAAGCGACGTAGTTTCCACGATTATTGCACTAATTCATATAAGATAAATTGAAGACCCTCATAGGGATTGTAAGAATGAGTTCAAGAGAAATCAAGACATTTGAGAAATATATGAGGGGTAATATTTACAGAATTAGTTATTAAATGAGGATATAAGAAGTCAACCATGGTGCCTCCATTTTTGCTTTAGGAAACTGAGAGAATGATAGTGTCATTTTCTAAGTAGTGCAAAAACAAAAGGAGCTTTGGGGAAGTGTTTGGGTTCAATCGAAGGTGTATTTATTATGCAGTAACTACTAGCAATATCCACATGTACTAGGTGTTTGTATATGTGGATAGGGAAAACTGGAGAGAAATCTATTCCAAAGGTATTTGAGAGTTTTTAGCATGTAAATGGCAATTGAAGTTACGAGCGTAGATTACATCAACCAGCAAGAATAAGAAGGTTGAGAAGAAAGGCAAGCAAAAGTCCTGAGGCCCACCATCATTCAAGATACAGAGTTTCTTATTTTCTTTTTGTCTAACTTCATTACTGAGAATCTTGGACCAGGCTGTGAAGAGTAATCGAGTTCTCTGTAAGAGTCACTGAGAAGAGCATAGCTTTTCCTTTGACAAGGATCATGCTGAGAGTGATACTCAGATTTCTTTCTTCAGAGAAAATAAAAGCAAAATAACAACATTATCCTCTTTCAGCAAGTCAAAGTCACTACTAACCTGTTTTAACATTTTTTCAACAACATTTTACAATCTCCAGAAAAAGTCTTATAATGCATGTTAATCACAGAAAATTTAGAGAAAACAGAAAACATAGAAGAAGAAAATAAAACTGAAAACATATAATCCCATCACCTAGAGTAAAAGATGGTTAATATTTTGCCGAATTTCCTTTAGGCTTTTATATTACTTATTCAATAAAATTGTGATTAAATTATATATTCTATTTTAGCTCCTCTATCACTTAACATCACACATTGTGAATTTTCTCAGAATTATATCTTTAAATAATTCATGGAGATTTTTACAGAGAAAATCTGCAAAGGATTCAACACTATTCTAATTTTAACTTTTGGAGTGAAGGTCTAAATTTCCATAGTTTGTCTTGTTCTGGAAATCCAAGCCATTTAGGTAATATTAACACATGTACAATATTTTCCCTTGGCAAGTGTTTATAGAATCTGATGTTTTCACTTTTAAAAGTGAGAAGATTCACATTTGTCTGCATTGTTTATACTGCACCCACCAAACACCAGCAAATAGATTGACTGAAGATTACAGTAATAAATAATAGAGCTATGGATTTGCAGCTGCTTTTAACCAACATTTATACAATTCTTTATAAGCTCTGGTGCGGATCTTTGCATACATTTGAGAGTACATTGCTCACCTTGTGAGAGGTACATTAACTCTTTCAAGTCTCAAGGGCACCATTTAGTAAATGACTTCTTTAGTGCTCTAAATGTACCTTAGTGCCATGAAAGAGACACATTAATCTTCAGAACATCCCATGAGTACATAGGTCAGGAAATAAAATTTTCTTGGTTTTCTCAGCTCAAACATTATGAAGCTCACATTATTACACAGGCAATTCTCACTGTATTCTATTTCCCTAAGTTCCTAAGTAACACCCAGATTCGAGGCCTGAAAAAGAAATAATTATGCACGCAAGAAGTCTGTTTTCATTGAATTCCTAGAATGACTGAAAAGAGAAACCCTAAGTCATAAATCTAATTGCATCATAAGTATCAATCTACTTGATTTACTTACTACTTGATTTATTTACTTCGTCTGTCAAGGAAAATGCAGATATAAAAATGATATGAAAACTTTATACTTACAATTGAAAAAGTATAAAATATAATACTTTATACTTACAACTGAAAAAGTATAAAATATAATACTTTATACTTACAACTGAACTCTGCTGTTTACTGGACAAAAGAAGAGTAATCTATGACTCACAACCCAATAGAAAAAAATTCTGTTTAATGTTATCAATTCTGTGTATGGAACATATGATAATTTTGTATAAGTTTCTAAGTTGAAATGAAATATAACCAGGGTAAGAAATTTATAGATTGCTGCATGCAAAACTACAGGTGTTTTGTCATCAGTTTTTCTGCATTTTTTATTTCTCTGTTTTCATATTTCTCATAATGCAAGGATATTCCAACTCAGGTTTAGGCCACTACTATTTATTTCTTTTTTGAGTTTGACTATCTAAATAATAGGAAGACATACAGGAAATTTCTCTGCTTTTTGTTATTAATATTGTCTACTTTTTAATTTAATCACATCTATGTTGAGGGAAACTAACATTCCCAAGTATTGCAATTCTAAGAGAAATGAGAACAGAAGTCTTGAAAGTATGCCTTCTTTAGAATGAGAAAATGCATATAAAATTCTTAGCCTCATCACTGGCACATAGTTAAGGCTCAATAATGCTAGCCAAATTTGTTTACTTTTAAAAAAGTACTAAATTATATTCCAGTCCATTTAAGAATCTGATGCTTTCTGAAAATGTTCATAATTATCAAAATTTTTAACTTTTTTTCTGAATCTAAAGAACTCAACCACGAAGTCCACTGAACTCTTTTGATAGCATGCCTAAGGAAAGAAGATGCAAAAAATAGGTAATGTCAGGGCCTGAAAACCTAGCCTTGCTTGAGGATAGCTCCAGAGGAAGAGATGGGGAAATGGGCTTCAGGTCTAATGCAATGTACGCAAGGCAAATTTAAGTTTAGCCTTGACCAGTGCCCAGAGTCTGATGTGAGAGAAGCTGCATAGCCACTGGAGTCTCCAGATCATTCCAGCACTCACGGAAGGGGAGGCAATAAGGTGGTCACAGACAATCTGTCCAATTTGTAGAAGCACTTTAGCTCTAGCTAAGAGTTTAGAGGAGTATATCCATCTTTATTAACTAGGGAAAGGTCAAAATTAGCATGGCAAGCAAAACCTTTGTGGGAGAAAGTCTTCTTTGTGTGTGTATGTGTGTGTGTCAGAAATGTTGGAAAGCAATGAGGATGTCACATGGTGACAGATGAAGCAAGAGAGAGGCCGAGGGGAGGTGTCAGGCTCTTCTTAACAACCAGCTCTCCTGGAAAGTATCAGAGCAAGAACTCACTCACCTCTCAACCCCACCCTGGAGTGCATTAATCTATTAATGAAGAATCCACTTCCATTTTGATTATTTCAAGGTGAAAGCACTTGAGAAACTGTACTTTCAGAAAGCGCTATCTGACCTGTCCTTTCCCAAATGCAGCAAGCCATAAAAAATCCTCTGAGGAGGATCCTCTCATACCAGCGTGAGAAAATAACCATTATAATCAGAGGCTGGAAATAGTTGCTTTAACGGACCTATATAAATAAACTTACTGAAGAAACTCTTACCTTCCTTGATTTTACATGTCCCACTTCCCCATCCCCATACATCTTCTAGTGACTTTCCTAGAATTTACTGCCTCTAGCTCAGGTCCCTTTGTCCTGTCATTTCTTCACAAATTTATCATTCTTTGTCTAAAATGTATAAAAGATTTATCTTTTGGCCATGTCTTCAGGTCTTCATTTTCTTGTGAGTGTCCCTATGTACCATGCAAAAATTAATAAAACTTGTATGCATTTCTCCTGATAATCTCTCTTGTGTCAATTTGATTTCTAGTCCCAACTTAGGATCCTACTTAAAAACTAAGATGGCTAGAGGTGATATGTGAACTCTCTTGTAATCAGATGCCCATTCAGAGAAATGTGTAAAATACATTGTGATAGGAGGCAGAAAGAAAGCTTTCACTCAGTGGGCACCGAAGTTCCCAGAACTCCTGCTAATAATAAGCAATACTGAAGATTATAAAACTAGTTCCAGTTGATGGAAATGCACAATTTATATATTTCCTACTTATCTGCAGAGATTTGCCTCAACTTCTCAAAACCATCCTAAAGACTATTGTACTGAGTCTGTTGTGTCCAAAACTCGTAGTTGATGCTGTATCCCTAATAGTACACTCTGACAATAAATTACTGTGTGGTAGTTATTCTACATCTATTATTCAATTGTTATGTCAACTCAGCAACAGAGTTTGATTATTCTCATTTTACAGAAAGTAAAAAAAATTCAGAGATGTTTAGTGTCAGAGTTTCATGGAGCTCCAATTAATTATCAGTTTTTCTAGCTCCAAAGGGTTTCTACCACACTGCTTTTTATAATGGGGTTTTGTAATAATGTGGAAGATGTCATTGTGCAAACTGTATATTCATCAGGGTTCTCCAGAGAAACAGAACCAATAGGAAATATATATTTTATATCTATATACAGATATTTAATATGAAGAACTGCTCCCACAATTATGGAGGTTGAGAAATCCTATAATCTGCTGTCTGCACACTGCAGACCCAAGAAAGACAGTTTCATTACTCAGTCTGAGTCCAAAGACCTGAGAACCTAGAATCATTTGCTACATCATTTAGTAAATTAAATAAATCTCAAGCCAAGGTGAGAAAAAGGTGAGAAGAGATATCCCAGCTTCTTCAGTGAGCTGCAAACTCCTACCACTGCTTTTTTTCTGCTCAGGCCCTCAATGGATTGGATAATGCTCACCCACACCGGGGAGGGCAATCTACTTCACTGAGACAATGCCATCCAGAAATACCCTTGCAGATACATATGGAAACACTGTTTAATCTGGGTACCTTGTAGCACACTCAAGTTGACACATAAAATTTACCATCACAAATTGCAAAAGGGCTTCATTGGCTCACATGTATGAAATGACCAGAGATAGGGTGGGCTTGACTCAATTTTATGGAAGCTTGAAGTCATCTTTGATTGTCTCCTCCCCTCCACTCTAACTTGGCCTCAATAGATCCTAGTCTCACATCTGGGCACCACGCCATGAGAGCTAGGGGAAAAAAATCTAACCAGAGAATAAAACTCTGCATTTCATTCTGATTGAACTAATTTAGTTCAAGTGCCCTGGACAGTTACTGAGGTTGGGATGTAGGAGCCACCCAGAGTCCCTCCTGCTATCCACATTAGAATCAACTCACCAGAACTAAATACCTGCCTTTTTAGTGAAAAGGAGGAAAACGGAGGGATGGAAACCCAGAATTTCTACCTTAATTTATTGGTAAATGTTGACTGAATAAAGGAGAAAAATGATTTATAAACTGTCTCTCTGGTAACTATTTTTATTCTAGCTTTTTTTAATTTTTAATTTGCTAGTTATATTTTTATTATTTATTAAATATTCATGTGCCATAAATAAATAAATAAATAAATCAGCATAGTGGCAAAAATTAAATGATTGCAGTTTAATTTATAAAATTTGAGAGAAGACATTCTAAATTTGTGGAGGAAAAAAAATAATAAAAGTTGAAAACATTATAGATGTCAGAAATGTTTCGATGATGCCTACCTGAAAAGCAGGTTAAAAATTACCTGATAAGCTAAAATAAATGAATGTTGTTCTCACAAGTCAGTGGAATTAATATTATACTTAGTATCCTGGTTACTGGTCTTGCACAGGGACATCACATTAATATAAATCATTACGGATGACGCTAAATTGAGACAGAGGTGTTCACAGCAGCCAGCACTGCTAAACATGCAGCCTAACAATATTTGAAATCATAAGGAAAAAGAGAAAATGCTAAAATTATAAATTATTTCTCCATTCACCAAATGCAGGTAACATGCCCAGTAAAGTGCAAGGAAACCAAGAAGCAGTCACATATGAGCACCAAATGGAATAATGTGACAATGAAGTACTATTCCATACAAAGAGAATGAGCTGAAATAAACTACTTTCCTTGGCCTAATCCTACCTGACAGAACAGAAACACAAGCTCCTTGAAGAGCGACCTCTTCTTCTTATCCTATAAAACTTACTAGACCTTAACATAGTTCCAGACACATAGGCTGAGCTCAATAAATATTTGTGGGACTCATAAAGACTGTGGTGATAAGCACCAGTGAGAGCTGTATAAAAAAAAAAGCCACTGTTTTCAGAGGTTCCTTAGCAACTGGAGTATTTTCGCTTAATCATGTGTTCACCATATTCAATCTATCTGGTATTTCAATTCTGGTATTCTTCCTCCTCAAGCTCCCTAGAAGATTTCTACTTTTCTCACTTTCAGCAAATCTCTTATTCCTTTGTTTATAAAGTAGAAGCCATTGGGGAAAAGTGCCTGGCCACCTCCTCCCCAGTTCTTGTTTATACCTCATAGTACCACCTTTTCCCCTCCCAAGATTCACACTTTCACTTGTACATTTTGTCTCTTCTTGAATTGTCCCGTCAATGTTTTCTGATCTCTTCCAGGTGTTTTAGTTCTGCCTCTCTCCTGGACCCTAGTCATCAAATTATTTAAAACCAACTGCCTTAGCGTTGACTAGATCAAAGAAAAAAAAAATGCCTTGCTTTCCCAATTTCCCTAATACACTATCACCTATGTCAATTACAATTTGACTTCTCTATATATCATTCTTATAAAAATTGCTCTCGTGGGCATCCTAATATCCAAGATATCCTAATTTCCAAATCAAATGGGTCTATTTTCAAACTCTTTAATACATCTACAGCTTTTGTTTCCATTGTCAACCATCAAATTCTCTTCCTTAACTCCTTATTCTCTTGCTTTTATTTGTTTCAAATAAGTATCTTTCTTCTTACTGGATTTATGTGCACATAAAGACCAGAGAGCTTCCATTTACCTATGACCATTGGTAGCAAGGCAAGCTCACTTTCAGCATTTGTGCTAGTCAAAGCTGTACTTACCCTCAACACCCTTGTAACTTCTTGGTTAAGTTTTCTTCATTAAATTTCCTTGATGTAACTTTCTTCTGATAGCTGCTTCATTTCTTTGTTGCTTCTTTAAATACGGGTGTTGGCAAAGTTTTTTCCATCTAATTCTGTGTCTTTCTTTAACCCTATCTATTAGCTACTGTGTCTTATTTTTTTGCCTGGATTATCTTTTCTTTCCTTATCTTCCTAGAAAATACTAACTCCCCACTCCTCCCTCTCTCTCTCTGTCTCTTCTCTCTCTCTCTGTCTTTATCTCTGTCTTTTTTTATTCAAGCTTTCCTCAGGCCCTCATGAATTATCACAATGACCTCTTAATTTGATTTCTTGGCATCCAACCCTTCCATCTATCCTCTGCATCTTGGTGGGATTACATACCAAGAAAATGCATCCCATATGAAAATATTTCTATTTGCTCTCTACCACATAGAGCAATGGTTTCCACATGGAGGTGCACATACCCTAAAGTAGACACAAAATAATCTGCACGTCTATAAGAACAGAACAATAGAAGAGTGTCCTTCTATGCCCTTGGCATAAAGCTATGCTGAGAAAAAGTCTGTTAAATGAAATATGTGATAATTCCCTTATCAAAGTATGTAGTCAAAACATGTGATACTCATAATACATTCTTATTTGTACATATTCTCTAAGCTTTTACTCCAAATATATGTTGCAAAAAAGTACAGCATGTAAATTACAATCTGTTGTGTACTTCTTGTTATACTGTTCTGAATAAATATCTGAAACGCCTTGAGTGCTGAATGCCAAGGATGATTGAAATCCCTCTGAGCCATAAATTTAAAATGTGTTCTCTGTGATGGTGAGAATTTTGCATTATGCAAAAGATATAACTGGATACTCTATCTTGAAAAAAGACAGGATAAATATTACAGAATTGTCTATACCTAATTCCCACTCTTTAAAAAGGAGAAATAAATTGTATCATCTTACATGAAAGTAGAAAATAAAATATAATCAACATCAATTTTGTTTTCACTCTGATTTAAGTAGCCCCTAATTTAAACACACAGACTAGCAGCTCAATTTTTTGTTGTTGCTGTTGTCAAATTAAGTCTGGCATCTCATTGCTTGAATAAGCATATTAGTCTGTTAAATAAGAAATTAGGTTCTTTTGAAATTTTAGAGATTCTGCCAAACCTCAAAGACTTTTACCTTCTGCTAGCTTTGCCAAATTCTACCAAAGTCATTTGTGAAAGAAATTTTCCACATAGGGTTAGCCAGATAGAGGAGTAGAAATTACAATGCTGCTTAAGATCTGTAATTCCAGGGGCACTGAATAAGCTAACAATTTCCCAAACATTTCCCAAGCCGACTAGAAATAAATGAGCATTTTCAAAACCATGCTTACTCTTTAAGTACTTTTAGAGGGAAAAAGTCACATTTTATATATGCAAGTCATTTTTAACCTGGGGATTATAACGAATCAGCAGCTAATCACCAAGATATAAATTACCTAATTAATTACTAAATACTATCATCTGTAAACACGGAGTCCTAAAAAATATGTTGGCTGAGAGAAGATTCATCAGTTGTAAGCATTAACTCAACGTGGTCAATGTTTGGTACAGCAACAACTAGGAGTTAATAAGTTAACAAAATGTGCTAGGATGACTGGGCAGGGTAAAAGTGGTGTTGTGGGAGCTGGCTTGAAAGAGCAGCAGGAAGAAGCTGAAGACATTTTTTAACTTCCTAATTTTGCCTAGAGCCAATCACCAGGTAAATAAAAAATTTTTTCTGACAATCAGAAATAATGTTTGAAATCATCCATTTCTAGAAATATTGTCACTCAGAGACGGAAAGATGACTGACATGTTTGTTCCATCGCCAGATGGAAGGGATGCTGCTTTTGTTAGTGTGTAAGCTCTTTGGCTTGGGTGTCTACAGACTGCTTTTTGAAGGTGACAGAAAATGCCTGCACCTGCCAAATCTCATGTTTAACATTCAACAGTTGGTGGTGCTGGCAGGAATATCATTCAGAGATAAAAATCTCTATTACTCATGCCACTTTAGGTAAGCTATTAGCAACAGTAAGCAAATGGCAACTTTTAAATTCAAGGTTTCTAATTTTGGTCTTTAAGCCTGTTAAGACACTTAGTCTAATACTCAGCAGTTAGTCAGCTTCACAAAAGCATCATGATAACATGAACTCATCATCCAAAAGTATAAGAGACATCTGGCAGTTGCCATATTTTAATTGCTATAATGACCCACAAATACAGAACCATTGTCTTCCAACTTTGACAGCTGCTTTTCATTCATCATATTAAGCTTCTAATGTATTTAGATAAACTTTTCTGTATTTTTTCCAATATCTAAGTTAGATTGGACTATATATGTTCAGAAAATATTTTTAAAGATATATGAGTTCAAAGGATCAAGCAAAAGTGGCTTGGTTATATCATGCTTCACATGTTATCATAAACTGTTAATTGAAATGTGATAGCCTCTTCTTTAATTAAAGAAGGAATCAAAAGTAACTGATTAAAAGCAGATATGCATTTGTATAGAAATGTATATCTTGTTTCTTTTAAATACATAATATTTACTCAAAACCAGTAACATCTCTTGATTTTTATCTGTTTTGGTCATACTAGAGAAAAATGTTTAATGTAGTAATAGCAACTGCTCTTAATATCTACTTTATAGTAAGCACTGTTTTGAGGGCTAAAGATAAAAATTTAAGAAAAAAGTGTTCTCTGCTCTGGTGGAGCTTACAACTTAATCATTAATATCAGACAACCTATATACAATGTTGAAGAGCAATGACTTCTTTATTATAGCTGATTTTGCAATGTTAACGCTACTGCCATGTTAAATAAATAAGTCTCTCAATGTACTGAACTCCATTTGTAACAAGTTTATTTAAAAACAGCGAAAAAGTTATTAGGTAAAAATGAAAGCATTTCACATTTATGATTCTAAAATTCCAAGTTGAACCACTACTTAATTACTGCCAAAAAGGAAATGCTACTTATCAACTCCATTAAAACCAACCTCATTATTTTTGTTCAATAGAAGGCAATACTTATTTGACTATGACTTAATTTTGGACACACTTGATTCATGTATTTACTTCTGTATATGATTTGAAACCAATTTATTTTGGGGGACACATTGGAAATTAGAATGTTCAAGGTTAAATGGCCAATGGAGAACATGCTGAGTTTCATAATTGCTCTGAGTATTTAAATACACACAATATATATTTTCCCCCTCAGGCTGAAATTATTGTTGCCAGATTCAAGGGGCCTTTTTATCAATGAGTTAAAGCAGATCCCAAAATGCCTCATGAGGGAAATTTTGTACCAACTTTTCCCACAGCCATTTTCTTAGTAGAAATGGGGTAGCTATTATTCAAGCTCATTCTAATGCCCCTCCCTCTTCATTAGAAATGCTGTTCTACTCCCAGGCCACATAACAATAAAGTGTGTGGCTTTGCTCTTCATCAATAACACAAAGTAGTTGCACCCAGAGTACTTGTAAGGGAGTCCAACTACAAATTTATTATCTCTCAACACCCATCCAAACTTTAGTTAAGAGAATAATATCTATGAAAGATTTCCTGAAGCGTAATTCAATCCACATAGAGGAACCATTAAAACCTACCCATAGATTAAGTCTGACAAACAGAGAAATGCACACACAGGCTGCAAAATGTTGTCACCCACAGAAACACTTTTAATAAACTGTGCTTCACCTTGGCATTGTGCCTTGTGCCTGCACTGAAGGACTCCATAACAAACAGTCCCATAAAACGCATAGATGTAGTAAACTACAATTTATTCAGGATATTCTTCACTATGTCACAGGGTCCTTTTTATGAGGAATCAAAGAAGAAATTTTTGTCTTGACTTAGTACCCGGAATAACTGTGCTTCTTCTAAGCAACAGGTGAGTTTCTTTTTTATGGAGACTGTGCCATGTGTTTTCTCCAATGTTCTTTTTTCTTTGATGGCTTCAAAACTTAAGTCAAATGTGTGACCTGCCTCAAGCAAATTTAGACAACTTTATGGCAGTCTTGAATTCATCTCATCTTTCCTTCTTTTACTTTCCTGCCCTCCCCTCCCAGCCCCATCCATTTATTTTTTACTTCAATTTATCTAAATATATGAAAACTGCCATAAATCCTATTCTGGAACAAGATGTGATAAACAAAGAAGATTAATCATGTGAGATAAACAGCACACATTTTTCATTTTCCCATGTGAGTCCTCCTTTATGACAGAGACAATGAGCCAGCATTTACCCCAGGGGAGTTTGTCATAAATACATTAGGAAGAAACATTCTTAGCTTTTAATTTTGAAAAGATTCATTTGGAAGTCAAACAAAAAAAATTTTGAAAATTGAATGAAGCTAGGGAATGAACAGAGATGCTATTTTAATCCCAGTTCTACATAAAGAATGCTCATAGCTAAGAGGAACAGAGATGCTGTTTTAATCCCAGTTCTACGTAAAGAATGCTCATAGCTAAGAGGAATAGAGATGCTGTTTTAATCCCAGTTCTACATAAAGAATGCTTATAGCTAAGAGGGGCAGGAAAAATAAAAGGAAAGAAATGAAAATAGACTTAGAGGCAATGTAGAAGATTGGTCTCTACCTCACATCTTAACTCACATGGCTATCACCTTTCCTTTCCTGGATAGAGCTGGTAAAGAGAGACGTATAGACTATAAGAATAACCATGGATGGCTGAGTACATTTAGTACCAAGAAAGGGATAGATCCACCAATTCCTCCACAGCCAGGCCTAGGAAGACATGGCTAGAGCTACAGAGGCTGAACATCAACACACAGAACTACACCAGAGCAGGCTAAATCTGAAAGAAATATGGGCCTCAGGTGAGGGTGAGATAGGATCAGCCCTTCCAGCTGTACTGCTGACAAGAGTCAGGTCCCCTGGATTTTAGAAATGGAAGCTGGATGAAAGACAAGAGGGTTTTGGGGACAGAAAATGCCAATTAGGCTGACTTAAACTGAAAATAAATGAGAGATTTCTTTGTGATGACAAAGAAAAACTGCTAAAGAACCGACGGTAATTCATTTGTCATTAAGCAGGTTTGTACCCCAGTGTAAGGAAATTAGAAAAAGCTATATTTTAAAAGCTACATTTTTGCAATTTGTGACTGTCTTAGTCGGTTGAGGATTATAATAAAAAAATATCTGAGATTGTGTAATTAAAAAAAGGTTTATTTGGTTCACAATTCTGATGTCTGGAAAAGTTCAAGATTGGGCATCTGCCTCTGGGAAGGCCACAGGCTGCTTCCACTCATGGCAGAAGGTGAAGCAAGCTGATGTGTGCAGATATCACACAGTAAGATCCCTATCTCCTATCCCAGCCCCATCTCCAACAGTGAGATCAAATTTCACCATGAGGTTTAGAGGGACAAATATACAAACTATAGCAGTGACCATAATATTTGTCTGTTAAGCAAAAAGAACAATATTTATGCATGAATATACACATAAGCCTGTAGTCCAGATTCTCTTCCTATAACATCTCCAAAAGAGAATGCTCTTTTTGAAGTCAAGAGATACTCAAATAATGAAAATACTGACACATCAAAATCTTCATTTCATTTCCTTTTCTCTGGTTCTAAGGAACAGTTTCCGAACATCACTTCTTTCAGTTTACATGGCACTGTCCTCTTTTAGTTCGCCTTCTACTAGTTTGGGTATTTGTTTTCTATGTTTTTACTGTCTTATAAATTTGAATGTATGCCATTCAAATTTGTATGTACAGTCATATGCTGTTTAATTATATGGATATGTTCTGAGAAATGTTTTAAGCAATCTCATCATTGTGTGAACATCATAGAGTGTATTTACACAAACTGAGATGGTGTAGCCTATGACACAACTAGGCTGTACAGTGCAGCCTATTATTCCTATTGTTCCTTAACAGCATGTTACTGTACTGCATACTGTAGGCAATTGTAACAAAATAGTTAGAATTTGTGTGTTTAAATATATCTAAAGATATAAAATGTACTAAAAAAAACACAGTATAAAACATAAAAAATGGTACACCTGTATAGGGCACTTAATGTGAATGAATCTTGTAGGACTAGAAGTAGCTCCAGGTGAGTCAGTGAGTGAGATGTAAGTTACAGTGAAGGCCTAAGACATTATTGTGCACCACTGTAGACACTATAAATACCACATATAGACTACACTAAATATATTAAAAGTATTTTTTATCAATAATAAACTTTAGCTTTCTGTAACTTTTTTACTTTACAAACTTTTTTAATTTTTAAACTTTTGACTCTTTTTTAGTAGCACTCAGCTTAAAACACAAAAACATTTTATGTCTGCAAAAAAGTATTTTCTTTCTTTATATCCTTATAATCTATTTCTTACTTGAAGTTTTACATTTCCTTACTTTTTAAACTTTTTTGTTAAAAACGAAGGCACATACACATTAGCCTAAGCCTATTCATCCTGACAAGGTCAGGTTCAATAATATAGCACTAGTCAATAGGAGTTTTTCAGCTTCATTATAATCTTATGAGACCAACATCAAATATGTGGTGCATCGCTGACCAAAATATCATTATGTGGTGCAAGGCTCTTTAATCTTTTCTGGCCTTTCTCTTTTTTCTTATTTTATTATCTACAATAGAGATTTTATTCTCTCAAAGAAAATGAGACACAAGTCTTTATGTCCAACTATATCTCTCTCAAACTCTTGTTCCAAACATCTAATTGCTATCTGGATATTTCCAGTCACATGCACTATTATGGCCTCAAATATGGCATATTAAAATGGAATCTTTTTCTAGAGCTAGATTTCTTGGCTATGTTTCTGATTGATGACAAGTCATCACCATTTTCTCAAGGCCTGCAACAAAAATATGCGCATTATCTGTTGTATTTTCCCTCACTTCCCATATAAATTGAATCAAAGAGTCTCCTTCTACTGGGCTTACATCTACATTTTTCCACTCCACTTACACTATTATTTTCCCAGCATAGGTTAACATTTGGTTTCTCCATTTCCAGGACTAGCTGTGATGCAACGAACATAGATTATGGTGTTCAAATGAATCTGAGTTAGACTTTCTGTGTGACCTTCATCAAATTTTCAAAACTTAAAGTTTTCTCATCTGTAAAATAGAGAGAAAAAAAAAATGGTTGCCTTACAGGATTGATGTGAGGGTAACCTGAAATAATTTATCTGAAGACCAAGCACAAAATCTGGCACCCAATTAGGAAAGTCGATAATTTCAACTATCCTCATAATTGGCTCTTTCCTTTCTTCCACCTCAGGATTACTAAAAATTACTAAGTAATTGCTAAGAATTACTAAAAAATATCACACATTCTATAAGTTCAGAGTCACAAAGGGTAGCTAGGCTTTCCACAATAATTTACGAACTTTTTAAACTGACTTCTTCCCTTTGTTGTGAAGAGCAGCTTTGAACCTTCACTATTCGCTATAAACTATCTTACCTGCTCTCATTTCATTTAGTCTCAGGTGTAATTGTCGCCTTCACTGGCCTGCACCATTGAGTCTGCCAGGTCTAATTTATCTCGTCTCCCTTCCTACCTTCACACTAATAAGTTGAACAGCCTATGTCCCATTTTCTTACTCCCTTGTTCCCTGTCTTAGAGCTGTCCCTCCCTTTGTTCAATGTCCACCCGTCACCTCTGCTATCTTATTTAGGAATTCGTTCCATTAATAATGCCTTTTCTCTGCAAAATATCCACGACCACTTAGCTCTTTGCCTTAGTCTTTAAACTTATTTGAATTTTCTCATCCTAAAATGTCCTTTGTGGATCCTAACACCTAAACTAGAGCTACCTTTCTAGCCCTCTTTTGTACTTTGAGAGAAAATTTGTTTAAAGGATACTCTAAATTCACTCTACATACTTTCTTAATTCTATATTTTAAAATAGCCCTCTCCACTGAATTTACGTTATCATTTGTAATGAACTAGAAGCTTGTGTCTCCCCAAAATTCATATGTTGAAATCTTAACCCCAGAGGTGATGGTTTTAGGAGATGAGGCCTCTGGAAGTTGATTAGGTCACAACAGTGGAGCCCTCATCAATGGGATTAGTGTCCTCACAAAAGAGACTCCAGAGAGATCCTTTTCACTTCTACCATGTGAGGCTGTAGCAAAAAGATGGCCATCTATGAAGCAGGAAGTGGGTTCTCAGTGGACACCCATTCTGCTGACCCACTGATCTTAGATTTCCCAGCTTCCAGAACTGTGACAAATAAATTTCTGTTGTTTACAAGCCTCCCAACCTATGGTATTTTGTTATAGCAGCCAAATAGACTGAGACACCAGTCTTCTTGAATTTTATTTTCTTTTGGCTTTTGTGACCCTACTCATATCTTCTTCCAGAACCATTTCTGTATATTCTTTGTTATGAGCTCAATCTCTGCTTGATGCTTAGGTGTTGACCTGTACTATCCTGGAGTGAAATCTCATGTGTTTTTATACTTTGAACAATCATTTGTATGCAAATGATTACTCATTATACATTTATATTTCCAATCTTCAACTCATTCTGTGAGCTCCAGTGCTACATATACAATTCTTTACTCAATGACTAAGCTACACTTCATTCAGCTCTTCCACAGGCCCAGCAACTTTGACATGTCCAAAAGAGAATTTCACACCCTTCTTTAAGACCTCTTCCTCTTTTTTTATTCAAAATTTTAGTTAGTGATGTTGCCATTGCAACAGTTATTGCCCTTATCAGAAACTAATTTTCCCTTTGTCACCTCTATATTGAATCAATGGCCAAATCCTCTATAACTAGCTTACTAAACCTTTCTCCAATCGTAATGTCTTCTCCATTCCTAGCACCGGTGATATAATTCAGACCCTCAAACCTCACCTGATCTATGGAAATATATTCTAAATACTAAGCATAAGAAAAGGTAATATAGCATAATCATGAAGATTGTACATTTGAAACAATTTGCTTGTGCTCAAATACTAGCTCTAAAAACTTACTAGCTCTGCAGTCTTAGGCAACTTACGCAACCTCTCTGAGCTCCAATTTCCTCTCCATTAAGAGTTCACTTCTCACCATCTTTACCTGATCAACTATTACTTATTCAAGACTTGGTTAAGATGTCACCTCTTCCAGGATCCCTTCCCAATGACACTGAGTTAAATCAAATAGCCCATCTCTATGTTACCCTGAGGTCATTTCTAGCTCTATTCAAAGACATATATTTTTATCTGTTCTCCTACAATTTGTGTTTCTTTAATGCAGATCAGCTCATTTGTGATTACTAAGAAAACGAGGTTAATATAATGCAGAGGTCAATATAGTGTTGGTTCATTCATAACGTTTCAAAGGCTATTAATATTTTGAAGAGATCAAGGTCAAACATTCTCACAATTACAGAAAGTATGTTAGTAATATATGAAAAGCTTAAGAAAAAAACCTGAAAACCCAAGGAGTGACTTATTTTAGGCATGGGGTTAGTTGCCTCAGTAATTGCCATACTTCCCACGATATTAAGTTATCTAGTCAATTTGAACTTACAGATGAAATTACTGTGAAGTAATTTCTCTTATGTTAAAGAGCAGATTTTTTTAGGTAAGTTTTTTTTTTTAATATTGATGCATCTGGTCTCTGTTATAGGTGAATGTTTTCAATGATTTTGGAAAAAAGCATGAGCCCAAAGATTAAGTCTGTGAAGTCTTACTTGACTTTGTTACTGGGTACAAATGTGAAGTGCACCAGGTAAATAGTGGAGATATAGCTATGCTCCTGTTTTTATTAAGATTGTTATTGCTTTTGTTAGTGCTCTGGTTTCAAAGTTACACAGGCTTTGCACAGTTTGCACAATTTTATTTTTCCTTTAAGCCCTCTTTTTTAATATGTAATTCTGCAAAACACAAGTATGTTTCAGGAACATATTGTATACATGATTCTACTGCAGAAGTGCCAGTACATTAAAATAATGTGTCTGCTGTTTCATTAACTTGTGTTTTTCTAGCGAGAAAGAACAATTACATATTACCATTTTGTAGCTTCATTCCCTAATTCAGTAATATTTGATAAACTAATCAAAACTATAGGAGATGCTGAAAAAATACTAATGTTTTCCCTAATTTGTCTCTCCCTCTTTATTCTGTCCTCTCTTTAATTAAACCAAAACAAGATTCTGGGTATGAAATTTTCCCAAGAAAAATATTTCAGTTGGCTATAGAATAAAGTCCAGGTCTCCTTAGTTAGTATCCAAAGCTGTACCTATTCAACTCTCAGTCACCCCAAGTACCCTATGCCAGCCAGTTGGTCAGCTCACTTTGTTCCTGGGGTACAACATATTTTTGCCCCTTTATTTTTGTTTATGCTTTCTTCTCACCATCTTCCCCAGAATGGACTCCCGATTCTACTCTAATTGTCAAAGTCCTTAGGCTTATTTTAGCGCTGCTTCATCTTAGTAGGCTTTTCTCATTCTCCTCTTCATTGAAGACACTGTTGTAGTAAAACGTAATAAACGTTTTTCATTAGCCAGTTACTTTCGTGTACTATCATGTATCATTTTATTAAATATTACCTAACTTAACAATATAAAGTAGGCCTACAAACTGTATTTCTGATCATTCCATTGTCTAAAATACAAGATTTTACTTAATATGTATCTACTGATGACTTAACAAAAGGTAAAAGCTAAGCAGAATAAGTCACACGGTCTGAAATGAGAACCAGACAAATCAGCAAAGCAAGCTAATAGATTATGGCAATAATCTCCATGTCAAGTTTTGTGACATTGAAGGTTCCTTGTTTCAGATAGAATGAAAAGGAAGAGAAAGAAATAAAAGAAAATAAGAGCAGAAATACATTAGGTAAATAAAGAATAGGGATGAGGAAAAACATGAACCTAAGTTACAAAATCTAATTAACAAGAAAAAAGGCCATACCACAGAAAAAGGTAGAGCATATCAAGGTTTATTATAGAAAAATAATAATAATTTGTCCTTTTTCTATATTCAATATGAAGTGTAAGTTGGTGCAAAACATAAATTACATAAACTATACCTCAATAGCAATTCAATAATTCCTTTATCCTGAATCCTTTGTCTATCTTGCCTCATGGTCTGTGCACTCTTATTAACCCTGGTAAATGATGCTCACTATTGCAAAGCAACAGTTAATAAAAACAAGTAAAAACCCTCTGAAATATTTCAATTACCTACGTACCTATATTAACATTTCTAGTGAAAGGATCAGTTGAATCCAAATTATGTTAGGAATGCCCATGTGCAACTTGAAATACACTTAAAAATTCCTAGTCTTTTAACAGTCAGCCTAAGAAACATGTTAAAATGAAAGTTTTTATTTTTTAATTCAACTAATGTATGATCACTTGTTTCTGAATTGTGTAGCTTAAGGTAAAAAATATTTTAGTTCGTAGTCACCCAGTTATTTGGTTTCAGGATTTTCCCTTTTGTTCTGAAAACTAAAAGTATAAGGATAAGAGTATATGTTACATTCACAAAAGAGTGAATAATGTGAAACTTAACACCTTCATTTCTTTAGGGCTATGATGGATAGATCAAGCTAATTTATAAAAGGAGTATTTCCCATGAGTTACTAAAATATTTTTAAATTTTGCTTTACATGTACTTCCTCTCCTCAAATCAATTCATTTTACAACAAAATATTAGAATTGAAACTAAAAAGATTATAACAATTTCAGATCATTTTGTAAACCTGGAATGAATGAAACCATCACATCAGATTTCTCCTAGAGTCTGCATCTGTGTGAATTAAGATTATGTATTTCTTATACATTTTTAGAGTCAAAGCTAGATCAATACAATATTCCTAAAAATGCATAGATTTCTAAAACCTTTTACATGTTTCTTATGTGGAGTAAAAATGCCACTCATTGATATGGAATGGCATTGACACCTCTACATTCACTATTTTTAGTTAACCTTCGAAGAACTTTGGTTTTAACTTGTTCCTCAGGCTGTCTACTGAAATTTTCTTAGGAAAGACTTTCTTCTGTATGATTATATATTTTCTGCAACAAAACTTCTAAATCCTCAATTTGAACTTAGGGCAAGTGAGATTATTCTCCCAGTCAGTTCCCTAAAGTCAGGGTAACAACTACCTTTTGTTTTGCTTTATTTTGTTTTATTCTAGGCATGCCTTAGAATTTCATTATGATAATAATGAAAACTAATATTTATTGAGCGCTTAGCACTGCTAGCCACTGTGCTTGATGTTTTATACGTATTAGCTCATTTAATCCTCTCAAATTCTATAAGGTAGGTAATAATGTTATGACTATTTTGTAAAGGAACAAATTGAGACTTTAAAAGGTTATGCAACTTCCCCAAACTCACATAATTAGAAAGCTGTTGCAGTGGTATTTAAATTCTTGTTTGTTTTAGACTACAAGCCTAATCCCACATTGTGTAAATGGAAAATTTTCTAGTCTTTTCCATCAGCTTTTCAGTAAGACATTTATTTAACTTTCATAGTGTACTTTTTGTATATTTCTTCTGAAACCAAATGTAACGCATCTTCATGATGGTGTTTGAAACTGCAGCCTAAATACAATTTAAAATAATATTAAGAAAATGCTACTAATTCCAAAGAACATTAAGACTACTTTGTAATATAATCCTTTCTATCTCTCTCAGACCCACAAATTTAATGTCATCTGTTAGGAATATTCAGCATTTAAGGTCTTGGTTCTGTATGTTTGAAAGAGACTTGAAAGAAAGTGAGATTTTCATTGCTGAAAAGGCTGAGTGAATGTCAAGCTGGTCATTTTTCAGCTTACAGGCCGATTAGTTACAACAGTTCAACTAGAAAGTCATTGCCCAGGGCAGTGTTCAAAGTAGTAGGCTCTATGATATAAACTGGCAGAGGGATATTCAAGCAAGTGGGAGAAGAGGGTCCTTTTAGGGAAGAATGTGGTTGAAAACATGAAAAACAAAATGCACTTTGAGACTCTCTTGGTCTTCATGGGAAGGCCACCCTCACAAGTCACTTCCTATTGTGACAAAAGGGAGCATCCTCTCTGTACATTTGCATCTATTTCATGTTCTCTCTTTTTTTTTTTTTTTAGAGTAATGTGATTTAGCACTGGTGCCTGCTGGATAGAAAGAGTCTGATTAATGTGTGGCACTTCGTGTTATAGCATATACACCCATGTAAGTGATGGAAGACCCTCACATAATTGGATATGAAATTGAATAAAATGATGAAAAATTCAGCATAACCTTTGTCTTTATATGCTGCAGTGGGGAAAACCAAGAGGTCAGGATACTTGGAAACGATGAGGGGCATTTTATAGTCTCTGCTGGTAAAAATTTGTTTAACACAGTCCCATGATTAAAAGGAATGTGTATCCTGCTGTGGCACCAAGGTACAAGAGAGAGAATAATAAATTGATGCCATTGACAAGATGTCATTTGTTATCTGCTTTAAAATGTCAGGTCATGTCATTGTGGTGAAATATTTTCTCTCTTGATGTATGTCTTACAAAGCAGGTTCAATGTTTGGCCCTATTCTATTTCAATAAAAGAAAACAGCTTTTAATCTGAAAAGCACTGTCACCAGGAGGAAAATAAGGTCATTTGAGACTCTTATTTAGCCATTTCTCCACAACCCTCCATTAGCAGTATATTTCAGTCACCCAGTTGGTCCAAATTCTTTCTTTAATTTATCTTTTGAGGGGTGTAATTATCCATCTGCTCTCTTGGCCAAAGGCAGGAAGAAAAGGGGAGTTTAGATATTGTAAGGTTATAAAAAGGCCAAAACCTGGTAGCAGCACATTCTTACGTTCTGTACTTATGTGTTTGTTAGATTCTTCATAACTACTTCTCCCTGAAAGTCTCAGAGCACAAACATAGACAACAAAGCTCTCCTAGATTATATCAATTAGAGATAAGGGGAAAAATATTAAATACAGAAATAGGAAAAACTATAAAAGTTACTTGAAATCTGCAGCACTGTTATGTAGATATATAATTTAAAATACTGCAAAACATAGATGAAGAAAAACACAGGACTCAGCAAGCTGGTTTCCACTTTTTATGTGTACATATTTTCAATGTAAACTCATCATAGTGACCTCAGACAGAATATTTCTCTTGTGCACACTAGACCAAGCTTAGATCCTGAATTATAAAGTTATATTTTCATCTAGCTCAAAGAGCGAAACCTGTTTTGGATGGCAGGAAACAAACGACTCAGCTGACTCAGCAAATTTCTTAGTAAGTAAGATATCTGATCTCTTGATGGGTATATTTTAGCTCAATATTTTATACAAAAATCAAAATTGCAAGTGTTGAACTATAGAAACAAATGAAGCAAGAAAGAACAAAGATAGCTCTAACTAGTGTGCCATAAGAGAAAGTCACTATAGAGGTGCTAAGACTTATAGGATAAGAATAGTGTTTCACATACAATTCAGCATGAAACATTGCTTTAAAGGTCCTTGGGTATTTTTCCAAACAACATGTAAAATACAAACTGGTGGTTTTATTTTTATTTGCATGAATATTTACCAATACAAAGGTTTTCAAATTATATTCTCGACACATACGAATTCCATGGGGGATGTCTCAGAGCTTTACTTAGGATCATTATGAAGAGACGAAAAGGTGGATTTACAAACACTAATCCCCACCATAAACCAAGTGACAACGTTTTGCTGTTGTTTTCATTTTTTAATAGTCTACTGTTAAAAGTAGTTTGTCATGATAGCTAAGCCAATTTCTTTCTGAACCAGACAGAATGGAAGTCTTCTGTTTAAATGGAGCTACTTAGCTCCAATTTACTCTTGCCATATTCAAATCCATATTTATCAAAACACCATGCCAAATCTTATTTTTAATGCTAGTTTAAATTTTCAGACTTTTTTCATGTGGAATCTGAAGTTTTTAATACTGACAAATATTTAAATTCAATGGTTAAATTAAATGATCTGGCCAGCTGAACTAAACATGTCTGTTAGTATGATGCGACCACTTTCCAGTGGCTGGAAATTATTAATTGTTTTTCAAACTACTGGGGTGCATTTGTTTAAAACTTTCTTGTGGCAGATGAATTAGACAGAGTAGGTTTGTTTATTATTATCTTATTCTAAGGCAGAAGAAATTGAAGAGGCTATTAGAGGTAAACAGAAATCCCAGTGAACTTATACAACCTCTAGTCATATTCAGAAACCCAAAGAGAAAAAACAAATTATTCACTTCAGAAATACCATCTTCTACAAGCTTAGTAGTGGTGCAGTATAGGCAAATAAACTAAAGGATAAGACCGTTCGTGAGAAATGACTGATTTCTTTAAAGACTTCTGTACACACACAAAAAATCTTCCTCATGATAATGAGTGTATCTAACTTCCTCAGAGATGGCATTTAGATGAATTTCCTATAGTGGTAGCAGCTGCTCCTTCAGTTATGGTTAAAAATACCAAGTCTCTATGTTCCTTTTATTCAAAATGCCAACATAGTTAATTAATTTAGGTGAACATAAAACTACGCTGAGTCCACACATTAATTATTTAAACTTGTTAGTGCTTTCAGTGCATAGGAACTATGTATATTTTTAAGAGAAGAGAAATTTAGGGGATTTCACACCACAAAACAGAAGTTACTAGAGAAATATAATCCTTAAAGGGGTTGGACTTTGAACATATGAGATTGGAATGGTCAAAGTGTCTTTAATACATATGAAATGTAGTTTAATGAAAATAATAAGTTGTCCCTAATTTCCGCAGAAAAAGGCCAACAGTGTAAAGTATAGGGAAGATATGAAACTTGCACAATGGATGACTAATGTGGCAGGATGATTTATTGAGATATTAACTTGGATTTTGCTCAGGTTTCTATAAACAATCTGATTCCAACAAGATGGTCAATTTTTTTTTCCACTCAGAGACTGCAGAGTATTTAGTTCCAAAGAAGATATTCCCAGATGTAAAAGGTAAGTCCCTTCCAATATTTGTTTGTAAGAGTTATGGAATTATACAAAATTATCTCAGAAGGAAAAGCAAAAATTTCTAAATGGGAAAGTTTCAGAGAATTTTCCTTCCAAAACTATGAAAGGCACAAAGGTTTTCTGAATCCCGTAGCATGTGGGTATGGCAGGATCTTGGTAGCAAATGTCTATGTGATGCCTTTAGAGAGGCTGAACAACTGAAACCAAACATCTTTCTATTGCAAGTTAACAGCACCTGAGCTTGGCATCTAAGGTAGTTTGGACACTAGGTATGTCAACCATGACCAGTATTGACTGACAAGCAGGGAGCCCTTCCCCAAATGTTCTACCACTTACTGAGGGAACTCAGTGACTGAGGGAACACGCACATTTTTCTATCCTATTAGTCTTTATGTTAATCCTTCATTGGCAACTTTTTAGCTTTCCTCACTCCACCTATTTTATAAAAGCCATTTTCATCAAAGCCATTTTCCTTTCCTTTTGTTAACCTTCCTTAGCACTGTTTCCTTTTCACTCCATGCATTCTCCTGGGTAATCCTATTGTTTCAATAATCATCTATTATTTATTTGTTAATTATCTCAGTGTAAACTTTACTTTTACCAGGAAATTATTCTTGACACTGTAGGTCTAGATTATTTGTCTTTCTGTGTGAGATTTTAGAGTCCAACCTTATAATATCATGTGTTGGAGTCTACTATAATGACTGTCTCCTATACCAGAGTATAAATATCTCAATATAAAAACTAATCTTGTTTCCTATTATATCCCCACAAAGAACAGCACAGTGTCTGACACATCATAGCCACTCAATAAACATTTCTTGATTTTTAAAAAACTGATTAGAATAGTAGGACACCCTAAGTATCTCTTTGTCCTCATACCATGGATTCTAGAGAGATAATGTCTTTCACATGTAACAAGAAAAAAAATTCTCCTTAGATGCTAGAATATCCAAGACTGTTGCACCCTCCTCTTCCTAAAGCTGAAGTCATTTAATTTCATCATTCTTCCAGTGTCTAGGATTAATTCTCAGTTTAAGGTGGTTAGAAATGGAGCTGTGAGGCAGTTGTGTAAAGACAGGACAGCAAGGACAAAAGATTCTAAATTATATTAACCTTGTTCTCTGGCTTGGCATCAAATCATTCCTACAGCTGAACTAACTTTGTCCTTCTGCTTCAATTTTTATAAACTTGGCTTCCGCCTATCCCATTCCTGAATCTGTGTCTTAAAAATGACCTAGTGGCCCAATCTCTATGGAATCATCCCTGTCTTACACTTGACAGCCTCTTTCCTACAGATTGGAGGCTGCTTAAATATCACCTCCTCAGGGAAGCTTTCTACAATTCTGTTGACTAGGTTATATTTTCTTGCCATATGGTCTCATAGCACAGTATGGCACTTATTCAAAATACTCTCACACCGATTAGTTATGTAATAAATATGTATAATTTATGTTTATTTTCTTCACTAAAACATTGCTGCTGTGAAGGCAAATATCATGTCCACCTTGCTCACAACAAACTTTTGAGGTACTAGTATAGGATCTGGCAAATAGTAAATACTCAGTAGTAAACAAGTGAATTAACAAGCCAAGGTCATTGGCTGCGGGTATATTGCTTGAAGGCTAGCTATCTACTCTTCCTCCAGGTCTTCCGTGATCTCCACCTTTGTTACTTTAGAATAATCCAATCACTGACACTGGCACTTACTGTTTGTCTGGATCTAGCCTTTTAGTGTCACACCTCTGTGTGTGGCTTTTCTTCTAACACCTAATATTTAGTATTTTTCTCCACACATACAACTTCACAATAATCATCTAACCCCAGATTTTGGAACCCCTCAGGCTGCCTTATTTAGTCACAGTTATCTATGTCCCATCTAGTTATGTCCTAAGTTGAGACAAAGTGCCTTTGTAGCTCAAGAGACATGAAGTATAGTTTAACCAAAACAGCTGCTACTCCTGAGGTCATATTTGATGTTCCCAAACATCAAGAAATGTCATGGTGAGACAAACTAAACATCCCTATTTGAAGCAAGAGTTGCAAGTAAGAAGCCAGTTCAAAATGTTCCCTTGCATCAACAAAAAGAAATAATAAACATGCTAATGTTTGCAGAGATAATGAATTGACAGAGAAGACAGGGGTATGGAGATTCCAGAAAGCGAGCTTTTGCATTCTATATACTAGTAAATCCAGCCTTCAGAAAACAGTTGTTCAAAGGCTGATATTTAAGGGTAATAAGCTTTGAAATGGACATAAGCAAAGACAAAATGTGAATGAAGTTATAATTAATAGGCTACTCAGCTCATTTTAAGCTTACAGTCATGTTTTAGCAATTAGCACTGACATAAGTAGAATATCCCCCTTTTTTTAAATAAAGAATCTATAAACTTACCCCTTCTTCCATCATTTGTATTTCTGTTTGAAGGCTATGAAACATGGCTGTTTCTTCAATCTCTGGTAGAAGCTTACCTATGTGGTACATGAAGTCATGCAATTATCAATTGCAAGTTTATGTTTTATTGAACTATTACATAAAATGTACCTTTTGATTTTGTGAGCTTGGGTTTACTAAAATTATTAGATGTCTAGAATTTAAACTATTACTCTGGGCACTTAGTGGCATAAAGATTTATTATTAAATCTTCTCTGATATTAGGGATCTTGACTTTTAAAGACAATTGCTTCTGGAGCCTTTTGAAATACTATCCTTAAAGTAATTTAACATAGCTTAAATAAAAACAAATAAAGTAATCACACACATTTTATCATTATCTCAGAAAGATTTGCCACGTCTGCTTCTCTAAATACCTAAACAGTTCATTATTTAATTTATCTCCTCAGAGGTTGGTTGACATTTGCGTTTTAATGTTTCCAAAGGATTCTGCACACAGAGACATTTCCAAACAAAGGTGTCTTTTCATAAATGAATCATGATATTATCAAGACCTGCCTCAACAATCTCATTTTATCTGTATACCTGAAAGTTGATGTACAAATAGTTTTCAAATCAAAAGTGATGTCTAAATGAAATTTTTCTGACCACAACAAAAGTGTGTATGTCATGATGAGCTCACTGCTTAAAGGGACTGCATAGTGAGTGCATTTATTAAGAAAAATTCAGCTAAATAAGTGTCAATTTTGATAACAAACATGGGCTATATTTTTATCTAAGACACATCACTCAATAGATAAAAGAAATATAAATATCTAAATATATTAATATCTACATGTCAACTCTTTGTTCACCAAAATTAAATAAACTTATTTATTTGCTTGCTAAATGGACCTTCGGCATATTTTGGTACAGGTGTTACAGTGATGTGAAATGCAGTCATCACCATTAAGTAGCTTAAGTTATAGTGGGACAAATAACTACTCACACTATATAATATTCTAAAATTTAGTGTAGCAATTTTAAATAAAGATGAAAATTGGAAGCAGGTAAGAGGGAGATTGATTCAATTGGACTACATCTTGGAGAAAACCCTTGAAAGATATAATGAAGGGAAGAACATTTTACAATAATGTAATAATAAATACTATAAATTTTATACATGTTATTTTTAAGTATTCTGTAATTACTTTAAATTTGTTTCTGGCAAAAATTCTGTGAAGTATTACATTTCTCACATTACAGATAAGAAGTCTATGATGAAGATGCTTGACCAAAGCCCAAACTACCTCTCTGCTAACAAGGTTAGAGTCAAAGTTTGAACCCACGTGTATCTATTTCAAAGCCCGAGTTCTTAATTACTTTATTATATTGGCCTCTTCTGAGGAGAGATACTGAGAGCAAAAGTAATCAGGTAGACAAGTACAGCAAATACATAAAAGAAGTTTGCTTGTCTAGGGCAATAGTGTCCACGTGTGTCTGCTCAGACATATAAATGAAATCATTCAAAGGTAACGGCACTCAGAATGAAGTCCAAACACCTCACCACAGGTACTACGCTCTTGGTAAGCCGACCCAGACCCATTTCTCTGACTCCATTTCCTGCTATCTTCTCCCTCATCTATGCACATCTTCTTCTTTGAGAAAGCTAAAGATCTTTCTACCTTTGGCTTTTAATACTTACTCTTCCCTCTCCCCTCCTCCTAAGGTAAGATGCTTCCTTCATGTAATTTAAATATAACCTCCTAAAAGACATCATTCATTTAGAGTTAGTCTAAAGAAAGCTCCTCTCTCTCATAAAAACATGATTTCCATTCCTCAAGCTGTGGTATTCCTCATCTTGCACAGCATTCATTGCTCCCTGCAATCACTTTGTTACGGTTTTCATGTTTATTATTTGCCCTTGTGTACTGGAATGGAAGTTCATAAAACAAGTGTATGTCTTGTTCACCACTGATCTCACTGCTGAAGCGCATAATAGGTGTTCAACAATTATTTGATAAAGATTACATGAATGAAATACTATGAGTCTAGCATTCCTATTAATCTTGAAATCAAAGCCTGTCCTCTGAACAGCTCACAGACTGTCTGTATTCCTCTCCTACGGCACCGATTACTCTCAATCACAGTTTCTGTATGTGATTATGTAAATTATTAGACTTCAATTGCCTTCAGGGCAGGGACAGTTCCTCTCTATCCCTCAAAGCACAGGGAAAACTATCTCTACACACTTATTGGCTTTAATTTCAGCAAGTAGGCATCAGTAAGGTCGTTTACAGAATCTACCATGTAGCATAGAAAGTCATTTGAAATGCTGAGTTGTAGCCATTAATCTACAAACATTCCTTGTTAGACTGATGAAAGGACTATGTTAAGAGATCTGGAGCATTTTGCAAATATGCAAATTTATAAAAATATATTTGAGAGCTGTGTATACAAATGCATAAGGTTTTGGTCACAAAATAAGTGGTCAAGTAATACTTATATTTTCAAAAAGAAACTAAGAAGGAAATTTTCTTAACACCCTATTCAAAAGGGAAAAATATTCCCAAACTTTCCTCAATTTAGGTACTGAATAAATATATTTGAATTGATTAGGTTTTTGCTATCGAACAGTTTATCTCTCTGTACATTCATCTATCTATGATCTATTTCTTTTTTTATGTTGCATAGTTTATTTCACCACTTATTCGTTTCTGTACATCCTCGTATGTGCATTTTTTTTTTTTATAATACTTTAGGTTCTGGGATACATGTGCAGAACGTGCAGGTTTGTTGCAAAGGTGTACCTGTGCCATGGTGGTTTACAGCACCCATCAAACCGTCATTTACATTAGGTATTTCTCCTAATGCTATCCCTCTCCTTGCCCGAAAACCCCTGACAAGCCCTGGTGTGTTATGTTCCCCTCCTGTGTTCATATGTTCTCATTCTTCAACTCCCATTTACAAGTGAGAACATGCGGTGTTTGGTTTTCTGTTCCTGTGTTAGTTTGCTGAGAATGATGGTTTCTAGCTTCATCCACATCCCTGCAAAGGACATGAGCTCATTTGTTTTTATGGCTGCATAGTATTCCATGGTGTATATGTGCCACATTTTCTTCATCCAGTCTATCATTGATGGGCATTTGGGTTGGTTCTAAGTCTTTACTATTGTGAATAGTGCTGCAATAAACATATGTGTGCATGTGTCTTTATAGCAGAATGATTGATGATCCTTTGGGTATATACCCAGTAATGGGATTGCTGGGTCAAATGATATTTCTCGTTCTAGATCCTTGAGGAATCGCCACACTGTCCCCCACAATGGTTGAACTAATTTACACTCCCACCAACAGGGTAAAAGCGTTCCTATTTCTCCACATCCTCTCCAGCACCTGTTGTTTCCTGACTTTTTAATGCTTGCCATTCTAACTGGTGTGAGATGGTATCTCATTGTGGTTTTGATTTGCATTTCTCTAATGACCAGTGATGATGAGATTTTTTTCATATGTTTGTTGGCCCCATAAATGTCTTCTTGTGGGAAGTGTTTGTTCATATCTTTTGATAGGGTTTTTTTTTTTTTTTTTTTACTGTAAATTTGTTTAAGGGCTAATCTGGATATTAGCCCTTTGTCAGATGGATAGATTGCAAAATTTTTCTCCCATTCTGTAGGTTGCCTGTTCACGCTGATGATAGTTTATTTTGCTGTGCAGAAGCTCTTTAGTTTAATTAGATCCCATTTGTAAGTTTTGGCTTTTGTTACAATTGCTTTTGGTGTTTTAATCATGAAGTCTTTGCCCATGCCTATGTCCTGAATGGTATTGCCTAGGTTTTCTTCTAGGGTTTTTATGGTTTTAGGTCTTATGTTTAAGTCTTTAATCCATCTTGAGTTAATTTTTGTATAAGGTGTAAGGAAGGGGTCCAGTTTCAGTTTTCTGCCAGTTTTCCCAACACCGTTTATTAAATAGGGAATCCTTTCCTCATTGCTTCACTTCGTCAAACTCATTCTCTGTCCAGTTTTGTTCCTTTGCTGGCAAGGAGTTGTGATCCTTTGGAGAAGAGGCATTGTGGTTTTTGGCATTTTCAGGTTTTTTGTGCTGGTTTTTCCTCATCTTTTTGGATTTATCTACCTTTGGTCTTTGATGTTGGTAACCTTTGGATAGGGCTTTTGAGTGGGCATCCTTTTTGTTAATATTGGTGCTACTGCTTTCTGTTTGTTAGTTTTCCTTCTAAGAGTCAGGCCCCTCTTCTGCAGGTCTGCTGCAGTTTGATGGAGGTCCACTCCAGATCCTGTTTGCCTGGGTATCACCAGCAGAAGCTGCAGAACAGCAAAGATTGCTGCCTGCTGCTTCCTCTGGAAGCTTCATCCCAGAGGGGCACCAGCCAGATGCCAGCTGGAGCACTCCTGTATGAGGTGTCTGTCAACCCCTGCTGGGAGGTGTCTCCCAGTCAGGGGGAACGGGGATTGGGGACTCACTTGAGGAGGCAGTCTGTCCCTTAGCAGAGCTGGAGCGCTGTGCTGGGAGATCTGCTTCTTTCTTCAGAGCCAGCAGGCAGGAACGTTTAAATCTAATGAAGCTGCGCCCACAGCTGCCCCTTCCCCCAAGTGCTCTGTCCCAGGGAGATGGGAGTTTTATCTATAAGCCCCTGACTGGGGCTGCTGCCTTTCTTTCAGAGATGCCCTGCCCAGAGAGGAGAAATCTAGAGAGGCAGTCTGGCTACAGCAGCTTTGCCACGCTGCAGTGGGTTTCCATACCCAGTTTGACCTTCTCAGTGGCTTTGTTTATACTGTGAGGGGAAGACCGCCTACTCAGGCCTCAGTAATGGCAGACGCTCCTCCCCCGACCAAGATCGAGTGTCACAGGTTGACTTCAGACTGCTGTGCTGGCAGCTAGAATTTCAAGCCAGTGGATCATAGCTTGCTGGGCTCTGTGGGGGTGGGATCAGCTGAGCAAGACTACTTGGCTCCCTGGCTTCAGCTCCCTTTCCAGGGGAGTGAATCGTTCTATCTTGCTGGCGTTTCAGGCGCCACTGGGGTATGGAAAAAAACTGCAGCTAGCTTGGTGTCTGCTGAAACAGCCGCATAGTTTTGTGCTTAAAACCCAGGGCCCTGGTCGTGTAGGCACCTGAGGAAATCCCCTGGTCTGCAGGTTGTGAAGACCGTGGGAAAAGCATAGTATTGGTGCTGGATAGCACCATCCCTTATGGCACAGTCCCTCACGGCTTCCCCTGGCTAGGGGAAGGAGTTCGCCGACCCCTTGCACTTCCCAGGTGAGGCGATGCCCCCACTGCTTCTGGTCACCCTCCGTGGGCTGCACTCACTGTCTAACCAGCCCCAATGAGATGAACCAAGTACCCCAGTTAGAAATGCAGAAATCACGCACCTTCTACATTGGTCTCACTGGGAGCTGCAGACGGGAGTTGTTCCTATTCGGCCATCTTGCCAGCAACTCCCTGATCTATTTCTTTATATACCTGTGCAAAAGAAAGAGTCTTTATAATAACAAATGTGGGCATTAGAGGATGGGAAAAATGCCCATTTACTTTTTTCTTCCTCTCTATCTTCCTACTTCTTAGTCTTAAATATGGATGTAGTTTCAAGAAATGTGAAGCAGAATGGGATAAATTGAGATCCAGATTTTGTCTCAAGAACGAGAAAAGGGTAGGCCCCACAAACTGGAATATGCCTCAGCAATAGGGCAAATTGTTTAACTCAGGAGAAAAACCTTTTAAACTTGTTTATAAACTCACCTCTGAGCTGAGCATTAGTGGTTCTGACTTTAAAAAACATACAGAACATTTAAAAACTGACTTGATAGAACATCACCCAGGACCCAGACTTGGTGAATGTATGGAATAGATTAGAATTGGCATTGCAAGGGTTAGAAAACTAAACTGATATTAGAATCACAACTCAGGGAATGCTGGTTGGAGCTTTCAGCCTGAGCCCAACTTGGTCAATTGTTTGCAAAGCAAAAATATTGCTTTCTAAGAAAACAAAAATATCAATATTCTATATAAATAGCATAACATAACATTCAACTGTATAGAATATTATACAAAATTATTCAGAATATGAAGAATTGAGAAAATTTCAACTCAAATGAGAAAAACAAAAACAATTACCAACACTGAGATTTCACAGATATTGAAATATTTAGACAAAGACTTTAATGAGTTAAGAAAGTACTCTAACAAGTAGTGATAAACGCTCTAAAAATAAATGTAAAGTTACAAAGTCTCAGCGAAAGAAATAGAAAAAATAAGAATCAAGTGAAAATTTTGTAGCTGAAAAATGTAAATATACCACAAAATTACAAGAAAACCTCAATTGATGGACTTAATGGTGAATTTAAAGATGACAGAGGAAAGTATTTGCAATAGAAGAGAGAGCAATATGAAAAATCTAATGTGATAAATAGAAAAACAATTAACAAAGATCCAGTAGCCTGTGGGAAAACCTCAATAGATATAGACTATATGTCATCATAAGGTCAAAAGAAAAGGTAGCGTGGTGCATACACAAAACACTATTTAAAAAAAAATAATGGCTGAAAACGTACCAAGTTTGGCAAAAGATCTAAACCTACAGATTACAGAGAACAATGAACCCCAAAAAGAACAAAACTAAGGGAAACAATGTGGTATCCCTTTATAAATGTTTCCTGGGTAATTAAAAATAATAAGTAATTTGCTGAGTTTTCAGTGAATGGTTTTATAAATTAAATAAAACTTAGTAAATTAATAAAAGTAAAATTCTTAAAGCATGTTCTGTGACCAAAATGGAATTAGAGTAGAAATCAACAACAAAAAGATACAGAAAAATGCTCAAATATTTGGTAAGTACAAAACATGCTTTTTAAAACCTAACAAAAATGAACAAAATATGTGCAAGTTCTATATAAAGAAAACTACAAGACTCTAATGAAATATATCAAACAAAATCTAAACAAATGGAGAGATATTCCATGAACAAGGACAAAAAGAATGTCATTTATTTCTACTTTGAATTATAGATCCAAAGCAATCCTGATCAAAATCCCAGCTAGTGATTTCATGAATTTCTACAAACCAATTTAAAGTTTACATAGAAAGACAAAAGAACCAGAATAACTAACACTACATAGAAGGAGAATAAAGTTAGATTGACAGTACCTGATTTCAATACTTATATAAAGCTACTATAATTATGACAGTGTGGAATTGGCAAAAGAATAGACAAGTAGATCAATGGAACAGACCAGAGTCCAGAAATAGACCCACACAGAGCAGATGATCTCTTACTTGCAATGTTGACTTAATATTTTCAACTTTACAATGGGTTTATCAGGGTATTAAATGCATGTTTTTCTTTGCTGAAAACAGGGTCTAACTCTATTGCCCATGCTGAAGTACCAAACTGGCCTAATTTTTTCAAAAATTTTTTTCATAGAGACAGGGTCTTGCTGTGTTGCCAAGACTCGTCCAGAACTTCCGGTCTCAAGTGATCTTCCCACCTAGCCTCCCAAAGCACTGGGAGGGAGTATAAGCATGAGGCCACCATGACTGGCTAAATTCATTTTTGACTTACAATATTGTTAACATGATGGGTTTATCAAGACATAATCCTATCATAAGTCAAGGAGCATCTGTATAGTCAACTGATCTTTGGCAACTGAGTAAAGGCAATTCAATGGAAAAAGGATAGTCTTTTCAACAACTTGGGATGGAACAACTGGACATTCATATGCACAAAAAATGAATCTGGACACAGACTTTACACCTTTTACAAAAATTAACATGAAATGGAGTAGAGACCTAACTGTAAAATGCAAAAGTATAAAACTCCTAGAAGATTACATAGGGAGAAATCTAGATGATCCCAGGTTTGGCAATGCCTTCTTAGGTACAAGACTAAAAGCATAATCTATAAATGAAAAACAAACCTGACAAATTGGACTTTACTGAAATTACAAACTGCTGTTCTGCAAAATAGTTAAGAAAATGAAATGACAAGCCAGAGACTGGGAGAAAATTTTTACAAAACACACATCTGATAAAGGGCAGGTATCCAAAACACACAAAGAAATCTTAAAACCCAACAATAAAAAATAAAGTTAGAATAAAGATAAAAGATTTGAGCAGACATCTTACCAAAGAAGATATACAGATGGCAAATAAGCATATGAAAAGATGTTCAACCTCATATATTATTAGGTAGTTTCAAATGAAAACAATGATATAACAATACACACCTATTAACATGGCCAAAATCCAGAATACTGACAATACATGTTAGTGAAGATATGGAGTGGTAGAAACTGTCATTCGTTGCAGGTAGGAGTGAAAATGGTACAGCTAACTGAAAAACTTTTTGGTAGTTTCTTATAAAACTAAACATACTCTTAAATATGGTCCAGCAACCCATTTACCTTATAAATACCCAAATGAATTGTCAATTTAAATCCACACAAAAAACCTACACATGAATATGTATAGCAGCTCTATTCATAATTGCTAAAACTTGGAAGCAACCAAGATGTTCTTCAATAAGTGAATGGAGAAATAAACTCTGGTGCATCCATACAAAGAAATATTATTCCAGTGTAAAAAGATATGTTATCAAGCCAGAAAAAGATATGGAGGAACCTTGAGTGCATATTGTTAAGTGGAAGAAACCAATCTGAAAAAGCTACATACTGTGTTCATACTACATACTACATACACATTTAAACTGTATGATATTCATAAAAAGGCAAAACTACAGATATCTTAAAAATATTAGTGATTGTCAGAGATTTGAAGTGGGGAGGAGAAATGACCAGGCAGAGCAAAGGGGATTTTTAGGGCATTAAAACTACTCTGTACAATACTACTATGGTGTATTTATATCACGAATTTGTCAAAACCTCTAAAATGCACACTACGAAAAGTGAAACCTACTGTAAACTATGGACTTCACTGAATAAAAATCATGAATATTGTCTCATCAATTGTAACAAGTGTATACACTATTTAAAGTGTTAATAACAGGGGAAATTGAGAAGGGGCTGTGGTGGTAGTGCTACTGTCATCTAGAGGGCAGAGGCCAGGTATACTGCTAAACATCCTACAATGCACAGGACAGCCTCCCCTGTAACAAATGATTATCTGCTCCAAAATATCAATAGTGTTGCAGCAGAGAAACCCTGTTCTCGATGTTTTGTTTTGGTTTTGGCCTCTCTATATAAAACATTTTAAAAATTATTTTCCATTTATCTAATTAATCAGAAAAAAAAGTCTTTATTAATGTCATTTGATATGGACAATTTAAATAACAAAAGATAGTTTTTTTGTACTAACAGGCATTTTCAGCCAGCATTGTAAGAGCAAAAACATAGATTATAATTTTTAAAAAATCCTTGCTTCACTGCAAGATATTCTCTAACAGAAGCATTTATTGCAGGAAAACAATGACAGCCTTTGGGCCAGTTTTCAACACTTAAACAGGTCACATTTTTTTTGTGTGTGTGTGTTTTTTGTTTTTTTTTTGGTCATTGGAAAAAGCAACAGCCGTAGCAAGAGGTGATAGAAACTCAAGGAAATCAGGCATCCTTAATGACTCCATTCAGACTTTAGTATAGGTCTCTGGTAATTTCTTTTTAAGAATTCTAGAGTTCAGGCTTTTGATCTTATGGGAAAATCCAAGCATCGGCAGAAAGCCACTCTATTTGCAGAGCCCTAACTAATATAATATTCCCAATTTGACCAGAGATCTCCCAGCAGGAAGGTTTCTTTCACTCAAAATGGCTGTAAGCCCTAATACCCAGAGTTGTATTTACTGTTTTCTTTGGGAGATCTCTTGAGGGTGTAAGACAATTAAAGGGCTGAGTCACTATTAACCACATTTTCCCTTTCAGTTTTTAGATATATCCTCTAGCTAAGACAAAGCTGAAAAGCTGCAACCTCTGGGAGCAACATGCTCTTATTTTGTTGGAATTGCCAGTTCTGTACTTGATTACAAGGGGTCTGGAGTGGTTGTGTAGGTAGGTATAGCAGTGCTGAGATTAACACCAGGTGTAGCCTCTGTGGCAGTGATTAGGGGACATTTGTCAATAACCAGAGACATTTTCAGTTGTCATATTTTGGGGGAAGGGTCCTGCTAGCATTTAGTGGAAGAGACCAGGCATGCTAATGCTAAACATCCTGCAATGCACAAGACAGGCCCCCACAACAAAGAATTAATTATCTGGCCCAAAATATCAATATCGCCAAGGTTGCAAAACTATGCTCTATGGGTTTATTCATCTTAATCAGCATTGTAAAAAATTTCCCAACTTATATATCTTAAGATAATACATTATGTGGACCACACCTGATATAAGAGCTCTTTATAAATGATATTTTCAAGCATGCATTTGTTTTGCAGTGTCTGTCAAGCCATAACGCTCAATCATATGTTGCTTAATGACAGGGATACATTCTGAGAAATGTTAGGCGATTTTATCATTGTGTGAACATCATGGAGTGTACCCACTCAAGCCTAGATGGTATAACTTAACTATACACCTATGCTGTAAGGTATAGACTATTGCTCCTAAGATACAAAACTGTACTGAACAGTAGGTAATTGTGACACAGTGGTAATTATTCATGTATCTAAACATATCTAAAAATAGAAAAGGCAATGCATTGCCCTATAACATTAAGATGGCTACAGTGTTACTATCTGATAGGAAATTTTCAGCTTCATTATAATTTTATGGAACTACCATCATATATGCTGTCCATCATTCACCAAAGCATCTTTATGTGGTGCCTCACTGTATTTATGTTATTTTCTTAATTGTCTGAACAGGCTTGGAGGAAATCTTTTGCTGCCTGGTTGAACTCCAACCAAAGGGTCTTTGGAAATTTGAATTTAAGATCTATCTTCCATCTTCCAGTTTCAGTACACAAGTCTTTAAAATAAAATATATGGCTAACAGTTACTTGTGATACATGATGCTTGAAACTGTCCCATGTTAAGTGGTTATTTCCAAATATTATTATTGTTTCTGCTTCATTCTTTTCTTACACATATCTGGAGAAGCCACATATGATTATAATCCATTTACTCCTAAAAAACCATTCTCAAAAGAAAACCTTTCAATATTTGTATTGTGTAAAAAGATAAATTTAATCAAGCTGATAATATTCAATTAATTGAATCAAAATTCTGCAAATTGTCACTTGAAACACACAGAGCCCTATCTTAAATGATTTTGTCAAGCGTTTGCAAGACTTATAAAATGAACTTGCTTTGTGCTTGAGACAATGCTTTAATATGAGTCTAAACTGAAAACTGGTATTTACCAACCCTATTTTAACCACAGTATAAGTATTTAACTATATTTTATGTATTACTTAAACTATAATTGAGTACACGCTGAGATTAAAAATGAATATTATCTATATCCAATATGGAAACGTCAATAATGCACCAAGGCTCTTCTGCTTCAACCCACAAACAAGGAATCAATACCAAAGTCTATTCAAGCTTGAGAAAAATAGAGACTTGAATAATTGTCTAGTTAGTTTAATAAATGTAGACAGCTGACCTAGATAAATCAAGTTGTAAAGAACTCTTTTACCTCATTAGCATTTTTGTCCTGAATTATCCAGATAATTATTCCAATTTTCCACATCACTTTGCTCATATTGACAGAGTGTCTTTCAGTTTTTCATGTAAATGCATTTCTTCTGTTCTGCTTAAAGCTCAGCAAGGTGTGCATCCTTTATGATGTAAATCTAGCATTTCCCTGTTTTGTTGATGCTTTTTGAAATGCTATCATCTCTGTATGTATAACCTTTAACTCACTATAGATAATTTGACCATGATGGTGCCAAATAATCTATTCATGCATTATATAGTTCTGATTAGAAAAAATATCTTGACTATTCTGCTCCATTTTTCTTCATTTATATATGATGTATTTGAATTTCTGCAGAACATGTTTTTCCTTTGCCTTCTCTCCTAAAATATTTCTATTCAGCCAGTAAAACTATTTCACTTACTCACCTGGTTTAACCTAGTTACATAGCAATGTCGTATTCAAAACTTTTAAGCTTCTATTTCCCATCACATAAACTAGTGTAATTCAGTTTATCTGTGTCTAATCGGAAAATGCTTATCTAGAATTAACTTGAGATGAGAGAACATATTACGGAAAGCAGATACTATAGTAAGTTCAGTCATTATTCATATTACTGTTACCCAAATGCCAACTGGTCATTTAAATGGTCTACTGGAGGGATAATGGTATCTTGCATAGGGTGGTAGTTCTGGAGCTTATGAGAAGTAATTGGCCTCTGAATATATTTTCAAGTAGAAATGGTAAGATTTGCTGGGATTCAGATGAGAATATAAGAGAAAGAGAACAGGTAAGGATGACTCTAAGACTTGTACTCCAAATTAACACATGAATCAAAGTACAACTTTTTAAAAATAGGAACTTTATTAGTGAGCTATTTGCTGTTGTTAGTGTTGGTGACATTATTTTAAAATTATCTTGTATTTTCTTGATAAATGTTTCTTTCCTCCAGAGTCAGTTCTAATCTTTGTCTATCCTGGTTTTTATATTTCAAGCTTTTAATTTTCTTCATGCATCTGATTTTTATAGATTGATTTTTTCCAGGTGGCTATTGTGGTTTTCTTCTGCTCCTACATATGTAGATTTCCCACATTCCTATTTATGTAGGTCTATTTGCAGCAAAGTCTCTCCTGTAAATAAGAATATTGGTAGTTAATTAAGTGTCAGGTGACATGGCTGGGCAATTAATAGCCTTTGATTAAGATGTTGAGTTGTCTGAAAAACCACAAATGAATGTGCCTTTGATCTCTGGTGCCAGAATCCTAAATCTTTTTCAAGTTGTTATTTCATTTTTAACATTTTTTGTAGATTTTTACTTATATATATATACATATATATATTTGTTTATTTATTTATTATTGTGTTTTTGGCTGGTTAGTTGGTTTTTACCTGGGATTTAAAGCTAAATGCATGAGGATGGGATGAAGAAATAAAGAGTCAAGTGGAAGATGCCAATATTTGTATAGATATTCATCTGCCAGATTTTCAATTAATTATGTTTTTTCATCCTCACTTCTTATTACTTCCCTCCTTACATTCTGATTTCAAGCTAGAACATGTCTTTGTTTCTGAATAATTTATTGGTTATTGATTAAATTGAGTCTAGTTTTACAGAATTGCTTTTCTCTACCTTTGTTTATATAGTCTGATTTTTCAAATACACCATCATTCAGTAAGTTTCTCATCATACCCTTTCATTATCTTTTTAATATCTGCCATGATTTATGCATTACTTTTTATTTCTAAAGTTAGTTCATGTTTTTATTTGTATCTAGTTTCTTTTTCTCTTGATCATCCTTGAAAATTTATCAATTTTACTCATTTTTTATAAAATAACTCAAACTAATTGATTTTTTAATTAATTTTTTGTTTACATATTTTCTATTTTGGTGGTTTATGCTCTATGTTTCCTTCTTTTTACCTTCTTTACATATAATCTCTTGCTGTAGTCTCACATATTAAATTATTTGCTTATTTCAATAATTTTCATTTTTTTTTCCAACATAAGCTTGTATAACTCTTACAGAATTCCCGTTAAACTGGCTTTTAGCTGCATTCCACAAGTTTTGGTTCTCCTCTAAATTTTATTATAATCTATTATTTAATTATAAATTATTTAAATATTTTATTTTTTCAAATGTGTTTATTAAATGTAACATCTATGTAAAATGCACAAAGCACAATGTACAGTGAACTGAACATTCATAAATTGAATACAACAATGTATTATGCAACTAACATCCAATTCAAGAAATGGAGTATTATAAGTAGCTCAAATTTTTTCCTATTTTTGAACGCTATTACAATAAATGAACAACAATAGCCTTTCTTCTAGCATGACAGATTAGTTTTGTCTGTAATGTAACTTTATCACATAAGATCCCTACCCACTTTTGGCTGGTGTTGTCCCCTATATATTGTGTTTGTGAAATCCATCCATGCTATTATGCATAGTCATAGTTAATTCATTTTTATTGTTCTATATATTTCATTGTACGATATACCATAATTATCCACTGCAACATTTGTGAACATTTTGGTAGTTCTCGGTGTTTAGCTATTACAAATAACCTTTCTCTAAACATTGTGGTACTTGTCTTTTGGCAAACACATGTAGATGTTTATTTGTAATTTACAACTTTTATAAGTGAGGGAGTAACTTTCCTTGTGGGGTTACTATGGATCACTCCAACACAGTTAGGGAAATTACACAGACAGGCATATGAAATTGAGGGATTGATTATACTCACAGGTCCTGGAGAGGGAAGAACACCATACCCAGAGGCACACACAAATGCAGGGAGAGAGAGAACAGAGTGAGAACCCATGGACCAGTGCCTTCATTGAGGACCATGAATGGCATAGCTTGTGTATTGTGGAGCATTCTTGTCAGGGTACTTTGAAAATAAATGAGTCAACATAGAAAGTAGGGAATGAGTATAATGGGAAATTCCTCATGAGGCTTTTCACTCTAATACACATGTTGGGGATGGGCACCCAGAAATGGGCAATAACTAAGCAAAAGTTCAAAACAAGCAGTGTGACGCCAGTACCTAGGGGAGCCACTGAAGCAATCGATAACACCTTCAAATTATGACACACCTAGGAATAGAATTGCTGAACCATAAGTAGATGCATATGTTCAAACTTAGCAGATATTTCCAAATGGCTTTTCAAAGTTGTTGTACCAATTTATGATTCGGCAAGCTGTATTAGAGTTAGATAGAGCATCCAGAAATAGATTCATTTATATATAGTGTTCTGATTTTTAACAGAAGTGAAACAGAATTGAAGTGTGGAAAAATATTTTCATAAGTGATGCTGAATCAATTGGATATGCATAAGGAAATAAATGCATTTAGAACCTTCCCCTATCTCCCATCTTACCCAAAACTTAATCCCACATGGGTTGCAAATATAAATGATGATGGTGAAAAAATAAGGATTGTGGGGGAAAAGCAAAGGAAAATATATTCATGACAACAGAGTAAGCAAAATTTTCTCACACAAAGTACACGAGCAATACCTATGAAAAGTGCCAAATTAGACAATAATAAAATTAAGAACTTGTTCATCAAAGATGCATTAAAGTGTGTAAATAAAGCCAAAGAAATAGAAAACTTGTCATAAATATATCAGGAAAAAAAGACATGCATACCAAAAATACAAGAAGACATCCTATAATTTATTAATAACAACAAAGTAGAGACAAGTCAGTTAAAAAACAACTCTAATAGGTATTTTATAAAAAGAGATATGAAATGGAAAATAAAAATATGAAAAGATGCTCAACATCTTTAGTCACAAAGAAAATGTTTATTAAAGCTACAATGTGATACGACTACATGCAAAAATGGCTAAACTAAAAGGCAGTGGAAATACCATGTAGTGCAATAATGTGGAAAGACTGGAAATGTATTTCTTACTTCCAAACAATGGAATTTGTCTAGTTATATTTTCTGCTGATTTCCACCCTAATTTCATTGACATAGATACTTATTACATGGATCAGTTAGAGTCTGTCTTCGTGCAAGTCCTATAAATGTGAGTGTGTAGTAATATTTCAAGTGCTCTGCATGAGTCCATTAGATTAAATCTGAAAATTATGTTTTTTGATTTTTCTAATTTTTTTACTGTATTTGAATGCTTGAACTGTCAATAATCAAACACTAAAAAATGTGTTAAAAATATCCAAATATGATTGTTGTCTTTTTGCTTCTTGTATTTATTCAATTTTTGATTTATATATTTTGATACTTGTTAAAGGTAAATTAAACCCTAATTTTAAAAAATTGTATAGTGACAGTCTTCTCTGTAGTCATGCTGTCTATTTTGTCTGATAATACACTTTGGCTCCTTTTATTTGTACTGTGCTTGTAATTTTTCCGTATTTTGAATTTCAGCTTTTCTGACTACATTTTACCTTTCTCTTTTAAAGAGCATCATTTTAGCCTTTGCTAAAACAATGCTGTGTAACAAAAAAAAAAAAAAAAAAAAAAAAATGAAAACTTAATGGCATTCAACATTAAGCATTTATTTATAATTTAGGCATCTGCTGGGAATTCTACTGACTGAATCAGTTATGTTGTTATTAGCTGAGATTGGCTGGGCTTGCCTACAAACTGCAGGTTCAATTTAGGTTATATTCATATCTCTCTCAGGTTCTGGAACCATTGGTACCCAAAGAATGTTCTTTTCGAGAAACGGCAGAGGCACTAGAGGAAATGCAGAAACACACACTTTCTTAAGGATTAGGCTTTGAAGAGACATATAGCTGAATTTTAAAAATGTATTTTTATGATCTTTGAATGTAAAGTGGAGTATTTAACTGATTTATTGTAGAGTGTAAAGTGGATTGTTTAACTGATTTGTTACACTTGTTGACACATTTGGATTATTTCCATCACATTTTATGCTATTTTTCTTGCTTAGTCCATTTGCACTGCTATAACTAAATACCAGAGACTAAGTCATTTATAAAGAACTGAAATTTTTTATTTTCTCATAATTCTGAAGGCTGCAAAGTCCAAGATCAAGGCACCGGCAAGTCTGCTGTCTTATCAGGGCCTTCTTGCTATGCATTTACATGGCAGAAAAGCACAAAAGAGCAAACCCACTCCCACAAGACTTTTATAAGAGCCCTAATCTTATCCATGAGGGCTCTGCCCTAATGACTCAATCACTTTCCAAAGGGCCCACCACTTAATACTCAAGCATTGGCCATTAAGTTTTAACACATGAATTTTGAAAGACACATTTAGACCTTGGCACTTGTCATATTTGTTATTTTGTGTGTTTTTTTTCTGAATTTATTTGTATTTGTTTAGTATTCAATTTTACATTTTGCCTATATTGAAAATTATATACTCTTATTTTAGGTGGTTATGCATGTGATTTTACTATACATATTTTATAAGATCTAAAGTTAACAAATATTCTGAAAAACTAAACTCTAATTCCAAATATTTCTTTTTGATTTATATTACATACTAAGAAACATGTTTATGTATTTTTAGTTCTCTTTTTAAACCATAAGAAATTATTTTTGTATGCTGTTTTCACTTAGATTTATTTACACATTCACCACTTTTTCTTTTTGTTTATGTTTATTATTTTTATCTTGATATTTTATCTTATAACTTAAGTATTTTTATATTTTACTTCAGTGAGATTGTTCTGTTGGTGGAAACTCCCTCAGTTTTTGACAAAATATGGTTTTATTTTGCTCACAATTTTACAATTTATTTTTAGCTGATTATATATTCTAGTTCAACAGATATTTTTCAGCATGTTAAATATAATGTTCCACTGTCATCCAGTTTCAATTCTTACTGTTGATAAGTCACCTTAGAGGTTTTATTTTCTTTCTTTCTTTTTTGAAATGGAGTCTCACTCTGTCATCCGGAGTGCACTTGCTCTGTCAGCTGGAGAGAAGTAGGATGAGCTCAGCTCACTGCAACCTCCACTTCCCGGGTTCAAATGATTCTCATGCCTCAGCCTCACGAGTACCTGGGATTAGAGGCGCATACTACCATGCCTCACTAATTCTTTGTATTTTTAGTAGAAACAGAGTTTCACCATATTGGCCAGACTGGTCTCAAACTCCTGACCTTAAGCGATCCGCCTGCCTTGGCCTCCCAAAGTGCTGGGATTACAGGTGTGAGCCACTGTGTCCAGCTATCTTAGAGTTTTGCAACTACTCCTAAAAAGGTATTCTACTTTTCTTCTCTACCTGCTTTTCAAATCTTTTCTTTCTACCTGGTGCCTTTCTATTCATTATATCTAAAATATTGATTAATTTTTATTCTTTCCTCTCCTTTTTTAACTCATTACTTTTATAGTAGATATTGAAGCAGACATTGTTGTGTCTTGCACCACATCCCTTTGGCTAATCTGATGTCAGCAGAGCTGTGGTTGACAGTTACTTGCACATTGCCACTGTCTCACTTCAAGGGTACACATAATAAAAGCATCTCTCTGCATTCTGCCTCAGGACTTTATCCTAAGCTATGGAGAACTGCTCAGTTTATGCACAGGCATAGCCTGTAACTACAGGGAAAACTGAAACTTTGAGGAACATCCTTCAACTAAAGCAGTTGAGGATCTATTAATAACTTTCTCAGCCTCCCTGATTTTTGAGGTTCAGTTCTGAAGCACTTCTTACATGGTCCCTTAAGGAATACACAATGAGATTGAGTGCCTGTTGCCTACAATGATAATTTAATAATAAGCCACAACTTTTCCTTCTCTTTTTTCCACTCTAGTTTGTGCTGTTATTCCCTACTATCATCATAAAGGTAAATAAACTAAACCTAAGTTATGGTTTGAGATTCTGCTTTCAAGGAAACCCAAACTAAAACATACCTTCTCTTTTTTTTTTTTTTTTTTTTTTTTTTTTCTGAGACGGAGTTTCGCTCTGTCGCCCAGGCTGGAGTGCAGTGGCGCGATCTCGACTCACTGCAAGCTCCGCCTCCCGGGTTCACGCCATTCTCCTGCCTCAGCCTCCCGTGTAGCTGGGACTACAGGCACGTGCCACCATGCCCGGCTAATTTTTGAAAACATACCTTCTCTTAAGCCTCCAGTTCTGTTATTCCTTTTAAAAGAATGTTTTATTTCTTTGCTTTTCTGGACTGCATTATCCATATATTTTTGGCAATTGGTTTTTTAGTTTACTAATTCTCTCTTCAACTGCATCTATGTTGCTGTCATATAAATTCACTACTTTATTCTTAATTACTCTTATTTTCAGTTTTTAGGTGTACAATTTTTCTACTTTTCAAATCTGCTTGGTCTTAATTCTTGAAATGGGTTAAAATACACATTTTACATTTATTTTGTGCTCAATAACCCTGCTATTTGACATCTCTTTACTGTTGATTTTGTTGGTTTTGTTTTCTGCTGGCTATTATGTTTTGTTTTCTTATATAAATTTTGATTAATTATTTAACATAAGCTTCTTATTTGTCTTGGAATTATATTCCTATGGTGTTATTTTCAGTGGAATTCTAACTATAGCACTTATCTGAAATCAAGGTGAATGTGAATGCCCTAAAGTATTAGAAGTAAAAACAAATTATAAGGTAAATATATCAAATCCTTGTTAGTATATTTATCTGCCTGTTTATGTATTGTTCTTGGTAATAAATGCTTTCTCAGTTTTTATTAATTACAATGATTTATACCAAGAGGAAGAGTCTAAAATTATTTTAGTGACTGTAAACTTTCTCAGCTCTCTAACCAAAAAGTAATTTTTTCTAAGGTCAAAGTTTAAGCAAATTTACATTCTCTGGTTATTTCTTAAAATTCTCTCATTATTCACTAATTTTTGTACTAATTCACACATTCTTTTATTCAGTTAGAATATATTAATTATATTCTATGGATGTGCACTATTAAATATTGTAACTATAGAGAAAAACACATAGTTTCTATTATTAAGTATTCCAGAATATATTCAGGACATCAATTTTGGGTGTTCTGTCCAAATTTGAAAATCATCACTTGTAATTTATACCTGTTTTATATATTCTTTGAAGTATTAGGTCATTCTACCTTATTTTTACATGTTTTTGACTCAGAATCTTACAATGTGAAAAGTACATTGTAAACTTCATGAGTAAATGAATTCTTAACAGTTACTCAAATTTATTTATAATATAGTCCCAGCAATCTGAAAAAGAATGATAATGTACTGCCCGAAAGTAAACTCTTGAATTAATTCCCTGAGATTGATTCACTTTAACACTTTTGGTCTTCTATTTAAATCACTTATCTATTTATGTATTAATATATTCATTCAAGAGATATACTTTTGATGATAAAACTAGATGCAATTACTACAAATAAAAAAGAAAGCAGACTTTATCTTCAAACACTGTGAGATTATTTAGGGGTATAAAAATGTACACATACAACCACAAGACAAGGCAGAAAGTAATATGTGGGGAAAAAATATATATAAATGGTGTAAGCTAAGTGTTAGATGACCACAGATGCATAAAGTAGGGAAGACGAAATCCACTTTGGTAAGACCAGGTGGGGAAAGTCACAGAGGAAATGACTTTTGACCTGGCTATTTGAAAAGAAGACAAGCATTAGATTGGAAAAGACAACATAAACGACCATGGAAACAGGAATATACCTTATAGATTTAAGGAGCAGACTGGCAGTGAAGTTGAGTAAATATAGCAGAATAATATGAAATGATCTAGACAAGGTTCCCTCCCGCCAGATGACAAGAGCTGTCTGTAACTGTCACACTTGAGAAGAAAGATGGCAAGTAGTTAAGAATAAGGATTCTGGAGCCAGATCACATGTTCGAAACTCAGTTCAGTCATTAGCTCACTCTATGACCTTAGGCAAAGAGCCTTCAATTACCCGTGCCTCAATTTCTTCCTAATGTTAAGTATCTCATAGAGTTGTGCTGAAAACTAAATGATTTAATATGTACCAACTGCTTAGAATAGTGCCCGGTATGCAGTAAGTGCTTGAGCTCAATAAATGTGATTTATTTGTATTTTACTAAGATTACGCAGGTAATATAGACCTCAGAATTTGTGAGCAAGTGAAACATATTTTTTGTGAGAAAATTGAATTTGAAAGAATGGTTAGAATGTTTCTGGCCGGGTGCGGTGGCTCATGCCTGTAATCCCAGCACTTTGGGAGGCTGAGGCAGGCGGATCACGAGGTCAGGAGATTGAGACCATCCTGGTTAACACGGTGAAAACCCGTCTCTACTAAAAATACAAAAAATTAGCCGGGGGTGGTGGCAGGCGCCTGTAGTCTCAGCTACTCGGGAGGTTGAGGCAGGAGAATGGCGTGAACCCAGGAGGCGGAGCTTGCAGTGAGCCCAGATAGCGCCACTACACTCCAGCCTGGGTGACAGAGCGAGACTCTGTCTCAAAAAAAAAAAAAAAAGAATATTTCTTTTAACATAAGTAATTTTTCCAGTCCTATATGACATAAGCAGATTCAAATTCATTTACATCTTGTGTTACTTTAAACACGATTTATACTACTAATACAACCTCATTAAGATATTTTTAAATTACAAACCTTCAGAAAAAAATAGTAATGAGAATTTTCTAGATTCAGTTCAGAAATAATTCAATTTTTTCTGTGTTTCTACTTTGCTTTCTTTTTTCTGAAGGAGTTTTCAGCATTTACAAAATATAAACTTAAAGTGAATTTCTTTCCAGAAGCCAATACAAAAACTAAAAATAAATAAATAAATAATAGCAGTTCAGTATTTATCAAAAAAAAAAAAAACCCAAACTAGATTTTATTTATGTTCTAAGGTACCAACATATTAGACTAAATTGAAATTGTATTCTCTATTGATATATTTTGCTATGGCTTAATATTTCAATAGATAATTAGAAACTGGTTAGATATTTTGAAGCATACTAGCATTTGATGCACATTGCCAATGAAGTTAGGTATCATCTATTTCTACGATAATCTTTAAATATGAAATCATAATTTAATCAAATATTCTTAATATTGTGAATGAAAAATTTTATATAGACTATGGGAAATATCAGTGTTCAATTTAATTTTTTATTTGTTTTTCTGTTTATCCTCCAAATTTTTCTCACATTTTAGAGATTTCATTTCTAAGGAAATCTTCTCCTACTTTTTACTACTCATAATTTTTATTCAACTGCTCCAGAATTTGATTATTTTCTTTCCACACACAGAAAAATTTCACGTGTCCTCCTTATATATTCATACTGTTAACAGTGAGGTTTGAGAATCATTGCCTTTTAGTTATAGTGAGAATTGTATAAATACATGCAGTGGTTAACACAAGATTAAAAATTAAGTAGCCAGAATATATTTCTTGCTTTAGCTCTCTTCATTCCACCCTTTTAATCCCATCAGCAATAAAATCTGTCCAATAAACCTAGTTCCTTTTTATGCTTATTCTCCTGTGTATGGGAAGCTCTTTTTGATCTTTCTTGTAGCCTCCAAACCCACTATGGGCTATTTCAGGACCAACCCCATTCCATTACTAATTTTGGTTCCTTTGTTCCTGAATGTGACTAGGCAGGCTTACCAAAGCAACATATACTGCTTTAGAAGGCATGGGAACATCTTTAGAAGACATGGACACCTATGAGCTGAAGGTTGAGTTCATCAGAATCTTCAGCTCATGTTATAAACTCATTCCCTGTATTTTCAAGGCTTCTTTCCCATCCAATTCATTTATTTTTTTCTTTTTATCCCTATTTACCACCCCTTTCTCATGCCACAGATAAACATTCCAATGCATTTGGCATATATCGCTTTAATTATATGTGTTCTTTTACATTGCATATTGTTTTGTGTGCATGTATTTTTTTGTGACTTGTAGTCTAGATCTTATTGTTTCTTACTGTTATTATTCTGTATTACCTTTAAAAGCCTATCCACATTGCTGAGTGTACAAGTGGGCCTTTGCTTCTAATTGCTTTGTAACTCTCCACAGTTGTACACGTATATATAAAACATAAACATACATTTTTATATATGTATACACTATATATGGTATATGTTTGGCACGACACACACATGTATAATTTTTTGGCTATTCACATTCCTTTTCACTTTTGCATTAGATATCATATTTCAGTGGTACTTCTAGATAATTTTTCTATTCCATTGAGACAGAATTAATGATTCCCTTCTTTGGGCATTAATGCTTGACACAGTTTACTGTATAGCCTTCTTTTCAACTTTTATTTTTGGTTCTGGGGTATACAGGCAGGTTTGTTGTATAGGTAAATTGTATGTCATGGGAGTTTGGTGTACAGATTATTAATATACAGGTAATAAGCAATTAGGTGCTAACCTGATAGGTGGTTTTTTGATCCTCATCCTCCTCCTACCCTCTACCCTCAATTAGGTCTCAGTGTCTGTTCTTCCCTTCTTTGTGTCCTCGATGTTCAGCTCCTATTTATAAGTAAGAACATGTAGTATTTGATTTTCTGTTCCTGTGTTAGTTCACATGAGATAATGACCCATAGCTCTATCCATGTTACTGGAAAGAACATAATCTCATTCTTTTTTATAGCTGCATAGTGTTGATCATGTACCACATTCTCTTCATTCAGTCTACCATTGTTGGAAATTTAGGTTGGTTTCATGGCTTTGCTATTGTGAATGGTGCTGTGATGAATATATGTGTGTTTGTGTTTTCATGGTAGAAGAATTTGCAGCCCATTTACATTCAAGGTTAATATTGATATGTGTGGATTTCATCCTGTCATCATGTTGTTAGCTGGTTATTAGGCAGCCTTGTTTGTGTGGTTTCTCTATAGAGTTAATGGTCTTATACTTAAGTGTGTTTTTGTGGTGGTCAGTAAGGGTCTTTCTTTTCCGTATTTAGCACTCCTTTCAGGACCTCTTGTAAGGCAGGTCTGGTAACAAATTCTCTTAGCATTTGCCTGTGTTAAAAAGATTTTATTTCCCCTTTGCTTATGAAGCTTAGTTTGACTGGATATGAAATTCTTTGTTGGAATTTCTTTTTTCTTTCTGTTTTCTTAAGAATGCTGAACATAGGCCCCCAATCTCTTCTGGCTTGTAAGTTTTCTGCTGAAACGTCCATTGTTAATCTGATGGGGTTCCCTTTTTAGGTGACATGCCCCTTCTCTCTAGCTGCCTTTAATATTTTTTCTTTCATCTTGCCTTTGGAAAATCTGATGACTATTTAGGAATGATTGTCTTGTATGCTATCTCATAGGAACATTTTGCATTTCCTGAATTTGAATTTAAATGATGGCCTCCCAAGTGAGGTGGGGAAAATTAGTTTACAGAATTTATCTAATTCTGTCAAATTTATACATGCAATTTAAACAAATGAACAATTATTTCTGCTTATATTACCATTAAATATAAATTTGGGATTATAGCATTCTCTTGTTAGGGTCTAAGTAATGGGTTTTATAGCTAATGAGACAAAATACAAAATTAAAATGTTCAATTATCTTATTCTAAATGTACCTAAGAATAAATAAATTGAAAATGCAAGGAGGTGGAGCCAGGAGGTGATATTAATAATGAAATAAAAAATAACTGAACTTATCTAAATAAAATTATATATTTTTTCATTTGGAGATGAAATTAACATGGAAAATTAGGAGACAGTTTTGCTATATACTTCTAAGTTAAGATTCAATTATCTTAAGGATTAATATCTATCCTTAAAAGATATTTTAGTGAGAATGGACCAGATTGTGTTGTGTTAACAAAAAATTAGCACTTATGTGACAAAGACACAAACAATTTATTGTTTATCATATTCATCACTCTTTAAATATTTAGTACACTTAGTCTCTTCAGGTCAACTTTTCTCCATGTGGTGGCTCAGCATTCCAGGCTGCTTTGATCTAAGAGTGCCTTCTCATTAATTTGTGCTGTTATTATTGATGCTAGAAAAGAAATTTCTGGAGACCTGAGTTCTGGCAATTAAACCCTTCCACATAGAAAAATTGCACATTATATTTGCTGTCACTCAAGCAAGACAGTTGGTTAAGTCTAATTTCAAGAGAAACCAGGTAGTATAATATTTCTGTGTATTCCTGTCAACACACAAATAGATAGTAATTGTCCCACAACAGGAGAGCTGGGAATGTATGTGGGGTGTGTGTGTGTGTGTGTGCTGAGAGAAAGAGAGAGACCCAACACTTACATGATACACATACATAAACATAGGAGGTACATTTGACATTCACCCAAGAGATTTCCCAGAGGTGCTATGGGAGTTCCAAAGTCCTTTTCACTTATAGTTGTCTATTTGCCTAAGTGGATTTCTCTTTTTCTGTCTTGTGAATTTCCTGATAGTGAAGAACATGTTTTTCTTTGTTTTCTAAGTACTAGAACAGTCCTGTCAGATTACTCCTTAATTTCCAACAGTCGTTGAGATTTGTATTGCTTAAAATTTGAAATATATATTAAAGAATGAGCATCAGAGAATGATTCAAATAACAGGTTCTCCATCTGAATAGATAAGACTCTTCACTCTCCTAGGCTAAGTTTAGACAAAAGTCTAAACTTTTGTAAAAAGAGAAAACTAGGGTTTTTTCAGACTACCATGTTATATTATTATCTTAATATCTGAAGTCTTTAATATTTAAACTAACACTTGCAGATCACAAGATGTGGGTTGTTTTTTTTTTAACCTACTTGGTTTTGCAAAGACATTTCTAGTGATGTTTTGGGAAACTTGTCTTCCACATTCAGGAGTCAAATGAACAAGCAAAATTAAAACAGCAAGACTCTGTATCTCTCATAAATTGTAGTACCTGTTCGGTAAAGGTTTGCTGGGTTTTGCTTCCTTTATGCCATACAAGCACTAAGGTAGAACTCTCCAACTCTTTAAAGTCACAATGCACATAGTAAGTAGTAACAGGCATAATGAGGTAAATGAATAATGCTACTTATGTCTCAAAGTAACCAAGTTGGGGGCTGTAGCCGTCCTAGGCCCTCTAAGGCAGCATTGAAGGGGTCTATGTACTGATATATCTGTAAATCAGGTTAAGAAGTTCTGTCCTGAAGTAACAAGTCTTGAAAAAAGATAAAGACTGATAGATTTGCCAGCTTTATACTTAGCCAACCATTGGAAAATATGTATTGATTGCCCTCTCGGCATCAATCACTGTGCTAGCCAGTAGGTACATACAGTGGAGATCAACACTGCCCATGTAGTTTTTGTCTGTGAGACATATTAAATTGAGTTTTAGGAAAAGGTGACATTGAAACTCTAAATCTGTACTTGGAATTTATGTAGCCACCTCTAAAAAGTAAAGTAACTTACTCAGTTGCCTGGTAATCACCAATTTTCAATGCAGGTCCAGGATGTTTTGGGCTGGCAAACATTTTGACTTTTTTTTTTATATGATGCCCATTATTCTTAATTATTATTATTGTCTCCTGATAGGTGTAATGTGACTTAAAGTAGGTATTTTGAGACTTTTCAAAATAGAGAATTACTAAAGTTTAAAACAAAAATATTTCTTAAGCTGTCATGGTTTGCTCACAAATTCTTAATCATGAAAGTCTCAATGTCTCATTTGTCTTAAATGTCTCATTTTATTTATTTATATCTATTTTATTTGGAGCCCTAAAATAAGAATATATTGTATTAACTTCTTCATAATAATGCATTTGAAAATATAAAAATTAAATTCAAAGGACATGATTCTCTCTCTACTATTGGTTGATTCTTTTGTTGTAGTAAAAAAAAAACTGGCCGGGCTCGGTGGCTCACGCCTGTAATCCCAGCACTTTGGGAGGCCGAGACGGGCGGATCACGAGGTCAGGAGATCGAGACCATCCTGGCTAACACAGTGAAACCCCGTCTCTACTAAAAATACAAAAATTAGCCGGGCATGGTGGCGCGTGCCTGTAGTCCCAGCTACACAGGAGGCTGAGGCAGGAGAATGGCGTGAACCCGGGAGGCGGAGCTTGCAGTGAGTCGAGATCGCGCCACTGCACTCCAGCCTGGGCGACAGAGCGAAACTCCGTCTCAAAAAAAAAAAAAAAAAAAAAAAAACTGGTCAGCCTTCCAAAAAAAACTTTTCTTAAAGGATAAAAGGATGTTCTGACCTATACCCATTCTAAGTAATTGAAATAAACAACTCCAGCTTCATAAGGTATACTGAAATGTTCTCAACTTTAATATATACATAATAATATTCTCAACTTTAATATATAATATTATATAATATATATAATAATCACTATAGAAGCTTGTGAAAAATGTAAATCCTCAGCCTTTATCCTAGAGATTCTGTTTATAGGACAGCTGTGAAACCCAAAAACCAATATTTGCATTAGACCTCTAGATGATTATTATGGCAAGGATCCTGGGACTTAAATTTATGAATTGGTATTACAGAAAGAGAATAAGTTTAAGTGCCAGACAAATTTGGATTTGAATTCAGCCTCTATGTAAAATATTATGTGTGTTAGTTGTACATTACTATATAACAAATAACTATAATTTGCCAACATAAAAATACACATCTATTATTTCACAGAATACGTGGGTCAAGAGTTGGGGCACAGCTTAGTTAGGTCCGCTCCTTATGTTTTCACAAGATGTTGTGAAATCAAGGTGTTGGCCCGCACTGAGTTCTCATTAGAAGACTCAACTGAGGAAGGGTCCACTTCCAAGATCCTTCAGTATATTGACTGGAATTAAACTGTAGGAAGGCTCATTTCAAAAGAAAACAATTTCCTTTCAGGACTAAGATCTTTGTTTTTTGTTTTGTTTTGTTTTGTTTTGTGTTTTGATGTCTCTTAGGCAAATGCCACTCCTAGATTCTTCACACAGTTCTTTGTCTCATGGGCTTCTCCAACGTGGCTGTTTATTTTAGCAAGCCAGAAAGGTGAGTCTATAGTAGAAATCCACCAGCAAGACAAAGTTTTATATAATGTAATATAAGCATATGTCTTATATCTTACCACATTTACCATATATTCTGTTAGTTAGAAAGATGACACAGGTTCTGATCACTTCAGCGTAAAGGGATTAAATAAGAGCATGGATACTTGCCTCTGATCACTGCCTCTGAATTTGAATTCGGCCTCTATCTAAAATGCTATGTGTGTTACTTAAATATTCAGAGAGAGTAATCATGGGAAGCCACCCTAGGATCTGTCAGCCACAGTGTGATTTTTGGAAAATAGTTTAGTATTATGGATTCTTAACTTCCTTATCTAAAACTTGAGCTAATAATACATGCCTTGAATAGGTAACATATGTAAAGATCCTGGCATAGTGTAACTATTTTATAAACACAATTAACTAAGAAGAACACAAAAAAGAAAAAGAAGTAAGATTCAGCCATGGGGTTTTAATAACATATCTTCAAGGTATCTTCCAACTCTGTGGCTTGATGTCCAAAAATTATGTGCACAATTTTGTTGAATGTGACATATCTCCAAAGCCTAACATAGAGACTACCTTATGTTAGTCATTCAGTAAGTGTTTACTGAATTAGTAGTAATTTCAATAAATGTCTCTTTCTTTTATTTCTTTAACAATGCCTTTATTTTAGGATGTGCAAAGACAGATGAAAGGATGACCTCTCTTAGCTATGTTTTATTGAAGAATAATTTCAATTTTTAGGTGGACAGTATGGATGCATCCAGTAAAAATAAAAGCAAAGACTCACAAAAGACTACATAGGAAGTGCTTTCATAGGGAAAAGAGCACAGAGAATGTCCTGTGCACAACAGCAGCAGCCACTTCAGCTTGGGGCTCACAAACTGGCTGTTCTGACATTCTCCCACTGCAGAGTGCAAACAATTGGTAGTGCTATGAGCATTTCCCTTTCTGCTCATATTCAGAGACCTAGCCTTTATCTCTACTGGCTACCTCAGCACTTTTACTTTACTTTTCTAACATACCAACAAATTACATAAAAATCTGAAGATAATTATTTGAATTCATATCTCAAAAAATATAATTAATCAGGGAAACTAAAGAAAAAAATAGTAAATGAAATAAAAATAAAAATAACCCCCTAAATTCTAGTGCATGTGCATCCTGTTTCTTTAGTTATTCAAATAGTTTTTCATTATTGTTTGTCTCTTTTTGTGAGAAGAATTTGGTAGGTAGAGATATGAGAATTAGAATGTTTAATGTAGTAAGTACTATAGATAAATATAGATAAAATATAAAATATTCTACTCCTTTTATCCTATCAATGTATACAAGTCACAGCACAATATCTTTAGAAAACAGCAAGAGAAAGGATAATAAGAGATTCACTTTTTTAAGCAGATAAACCAATAAGCTCTAAAAAACAATTTTTTCTTAATGTGCCATCATTCCTTAAATTAATCTGTTCAGTCTCTGACCTCTCTGTATATACTGTGTAAATCCTTCCTCTTTGCTCCATGATAAGCTCTTTAAATTTATAAACAGTTGCTCTACCCAGTAAGTATCAACTTGTTATGTTTAAATAACTATCTCAATTTGGCACTTTTTAAATCACACAATATAATACAATTTTGGAAATATTTTTGTCAGCAGTCAAGTCTCTCTTTTTAACCACACATTTCCAAATTACCCAACACATCAGTAGATTTTGAAAATTGGCACTGCTAAGTAAAAATAAAATAAAGTTTGTTCTACCTGATAAGCATTTCCTAAAAAAATGGGATACAAGATAGACAGATAATACGCTGTGGGAAAAACCTGCAAAACAAAACCATAAAGTGTTATATCTAGACAGGATATGAAGGATCATTAATGCCAATTCTGAGGTGCTGTGTGCTGGTGTAAGAGCACAAAGCTGGCTTGTGTAAGAGCTGGCAGAGAAATATGTAACCCTGATGCCTCCTGGTCTTGTGCTCCTTCTACAGAGCCATGCTGACTCTATATATGTTTAAAAAGTGGAGCTCAGATAAGTGGGGAATAAAAATTCACAACTTTTTCCCATATTATACATACTTTCTTTTTTATGCTTAGCAATCAGGATTTTTTGTGCCTTTCTAAATGTTCTTACGAAGTCCTCAGAATAGTTCGAGCAGCTGTCAAAAGGGTAAACTGTACGGATGGAAACATCTATGCATTCATATTGTACAAAGGGTGGGGAGTAAGGTCTAACAAGGGAAATACTTTAAAAGTAAATACAATGCTGTTGGGGATTAACTCAAAAAATGTGTCTAAATTTATAAAAGAAGTAACTGTTACATTGTTTTTGCAGGTTATCTTTACATCCCCTTTGGTTACACATATAGTTGGCATTTTCTAAAGGTAAAAAATTAACGTAGCTTTTGTAGTTTCTAATCTTTTGATTTATAGGAAAAGATACTTATACTAGCTGTGTTCTCTTAATATATGCTCTAATATGTATGCTACCTGAATTTTTTACAGCATCTCAGTAGAGTATGCTGCCTGGAGCTCTGTGCTTTCCCCTAATGAAAATGTACCGTATTACATTCACTGCAGAACATGAAGGGAGGATCTTTCAGGAATCAGGACAAGTGATTTATCAATTTCACCCTCCAAGTAAACCATGAAGACCTTGGGTCTTATTTGGGGCCAGCCATGGTACAACAGTACCTTCTTTCAAAAGACCTAGTTACCAGGGGTCAGTCATTAGGAGGCTTTTCAAGGTTTCTGATACATAAACTCTCAAAATTTAATTACAGGAACGAACAAGACAGTAATAGTTTCAAAATCCATAGTATTTACTTAGCTAGCCAACCCTGTAGTCATGTATTTTCATTTGTTCATTTTCAGAATGAGAAGAGCATAGTTAGTTATGCTTCTGATACGTGGCTCCTAATATAATGCCAGTTGGTTTAGGTTTTATTGGTTAGATCCTCAGTTGAGAATGTTATATATTGAAATAGATACACAGTGGGCTTGGCTTCAGAAAATGTTAAGCTGCAGCTATTTTGGGAAACGTTATCCATAAAATGCCAACTTCACCAGGATTTGCTGAGTGGTGGTGTCTGTTGGCAGAGATGAACTGCTTTGCATCCTATTGTCTGCTGTTCACAATGCTGTGGGCTAGAATGTAATTGGTAGACAATATCCTCTGGGGAGCCCGCAAAAGGTGGCAGTCCATCTCCTGATGCCCCCTCTATGTGTTGTAAATTTAAAAAACGATTCGCAAGGTGATGACTTTTTTTAACGTAAGTGTGAAGTAATGCAGTCTGCAGGATTAGTATCAGTCACACTAAGATATCACAGACTGAGGATTTAGCATCTTTACTCTGATATTCTGTGCACTGGTTAGTAATATTTTCCATTCATGGAAAGCCTCCTGAAATGTAACTGTGCATTGTGTATTACATGGAAGGTGTTTAATGAGTTTAAAAGAAAAAAAGAAAAAATAATCCTAACTTTGAGTAATATAATTTTCTCTTTGAGTACTATAAATTCTTTCTTTGAGTACTGATTACTTTTATCAGAATGAAGCCATCCAAGTATTTTTAATCTTAGCTATTTCTAGCCAAATTTTTGCAATGTACACAAATAAGAATATATGATATTATAAACACTTATGGAAGCAATTGTCTAGTCACCAAAAATTTGAAAAATATAAGTTAGATTGGAGATTACATACTCTTTTGTGAGTTTTAAGCACCTCTAATTACCTTAAGGAATAGCACCTCTAATATACCTTAAGTAATCGCAACTGCTTTTCCTATACTACTTCCTAGTAAGACACTATTTTGACAATCAAGCAAGTGTATAAAAGGCAAAATAAAAGTAGTTGACATCAGTATTGCTCAAATTGCTCCACAGAATTGCTTATCCTCTATAGGGTATTTAATTTGTAGTATAAGTAGCTTTGCAGTTAGTGTGATAAATTTGCAAAGAAGCAAACAGAACATATCATTTAGTAAAAGCTTTGGATCAGACAGATCTGAGTATAATCCTAGACATGGTATGTGACTTGGTCTTTGAGGGCTGCCATAACAAAATACCACAGATTAGGTGGCTTAAATAACAGAAATGCATTTCCTCACAGTTCTGGAGGCTGGAAAGTACATGATCAGGTGTCAGCAGGGTCAGTTTCCTCTGAGGGTTGTGAGGATATATCTGTTCCAGGCCTCTATCTATTCCAGGCCTCTCTCCTGGGCTTGTAGATGACAATTTTCTTCTTGTGTCTTTACATGATCTTCCCTTTGTTTGTATCTGTATCCTAATCTTTTCTTCTAAGCTCACCAGTCATACTGGATTAGGGCACACCCATATGACCTCATTTTATCTTATTTACCACTGTAAAGGCCCTATCTCCAAATATAGTCACATTCTCAGATATCAGGGGTTAGAAACTCGACATAAAGATTTGAGGGAGGAGAGGGGATGCAATTCAGCCCTGTAATATTGGATCCTAACAGAATCCTAACTTTCCTAAGGACAGAGATGCTCGCTTATTTATTTTGTTTTCCTCACAATGCCTATCACTTTTTCTTGCCTAAAATAGATGTTTAATAGTTACATAATTAAATTATCACTTTGACAATCAGGTTTTTTAAATATCTCCATCTAACTTACTAAAATAGGTACTTACTCACCTAGTGTTAAATACTGTTAAAGGGGATAATCTTACATGAGTTAAATTTAACAGAATTTAAACAAAGAATGATTCGAGAATCAGGTAACACTTGGAACCAGAACCAATTCTAAGAACTCTGGCCTGCAATGTGGTCAGACAGCATTCATGGACAAAAAATGGAAGTGAGGTACAGAGACAGCTTAATTAGTTATAGCTCTATGTTTTGCCATATTTAAATCAGCTGGCCACCTGTGACTGACTGAAGCTCAGCTGCTGCAATTGACTGAGCCTCAGTCAATTTGTTACAAGAGTATAATTCTAAATTCAGCTTTCAGTTAGTTCATGTACTAAGTTAGGATAAAGTTTGTTACATAAGGATTTGAGTACAGAGGCTTCCTCAGGCCAAATTTAGTTTAGTTCAACAATTTGTTCCTTTTGGTCAACCTCTCAATTTGGAGATCATCTAAAACCTGGGCATGAGCACCAGTTTCAATCACCATTGTGAATTGACTTATTTGGTCTCAGTATGGAATTCATGTGAAGTCCTCATGTTAATTGAATTTATGTGCTCGCTGGTCTAGTTGAAGTGAGATCATTCAATGCTCAACGAATGACTGCATACCAACATTTAAGACTTGAGAGAACCAGGGGATCTATTAAGATGATTGTCAAGAGAATGATATCCAAAACTGAACTCTACTCCTTAACAAAAGCCCTCTCAAACTGAACCAATCAAAACAAAACAAATCAAAGTTTAGGCAATATAGACAGTTCAATAGAATTTGAGTCCTACTTGTCATAATCTTGGTTTGAGGCATGATGGCAATTAGGGACCATAGTTTTCTATAAAGCAGCCTGATTTAAAGAGGTATTCATTTTTTGTAGTTAACTCTTTTCCAGTAACATTATTAGCAGGACAGAATGTTGTAACTCTACTTTCCAGGTCCTCATTAAAAAATATTTAGAAAAATGATAGCGATGACTAATGTTATACAAAGTTCAGTTGCATTCTCTCACCTTCATTCATCAAATATATATGAAGGACTTATTGTGTGCTACTATAAAACCAGATAGACTGATGGAGCATAAGTAGGGATGTAATAAAGAAACAACCTAATTAAATAGTTGCACAAATAGTATTTGGTAACAATTGTAGTAAGTGCTGTAAACAGACAGTATGAGGTGTTATGGGCTCATATAATGGGGTTTTATCTAACCTGAGAGGGCAAGGAAAGATTAGGAAGTTTGGGGGGCCTAATAATGGGGTTTCACCTGACCTGAATGGGCAGGGAAAGATTAATCTAGGAAGTTTGCTTTTTAATGAAAGATCTCAAGCAAAAGGAGAGGCCACTATATGAAGAGAGGAAGGAAGACCATTTTGGTGAGAGGACAGTATGTGCAAAAGCCATGTGGTGGAGCTGGAACATTATTTGGACCCAGAAGAAAATGAGAGCAGTCAGAAGAGGGAGAGTTTGGAAAGTGGTGGGGAATAGGCTGTGGAGGGCTTAAGAAAACATGTTGAAACTTTTGTCATTATTCCAAAAAAAAAGTGAAGTCACAGCTAGGTTTTAAGTGGTGTAAGGTGCCACAGTTGGATTAGAATTTCAAAAACGCTATTTCAGTTGAGGATTGAAAGAGACCAGAATGGACACAGTAGGTCAGTTTCAAGGCAGTTGCTGTTATCCGCAAAAGAGAAGATGGCAACTTGAATTAGATGAAGGAATTTTCAAGATATTGCACACAATTTCTAAAAGACCAAAGGTGATATTAATATGCCATATTTAAATGTCACTTTATGCATATTTTAGCACATTTGTATGCTTATTTCTCAAGTCATGTCACCTTAGCAGTAGAGAAAAATAAACATACAAGCTTAATAGGAGGGTAGGGGATTGAGAGAAACAGAAGGACAAAAGGGAGTTTCAGTCCTAGAAGAGACCCTTTCTCACTATTGCTTTTGAGTATTTTATGTTAAATCTTGGATTCCACGCCATAACACATTTACAATTATGAAAATGGCATAAAATAATATATTTGATTTTAATGTAAAATTATTTTATTTTCCTCCCCAAAATCTTTTGGTAAAATTCTTGCTGTTGGAAGATGCACCATCTTTTCCTAAGAACTCTGCATCTCTATATTACCACCTTTTCTTCCTGAGACTCCTTGCTCTGCATTTTGAGAAGACAAGTCTTACCTTATCTCATTTTACCCTCACAGTCATCCAGCGACAACCATGCTGAAGACAGCCATTATCATTTTAGAAATGGGAAAGCTAAGGCTTAGAGTAACCGTGAGACCCCAAAGTTGCATTGCTAGACATTTATAGAGCTAGAATTTTGCAACCATTATAAACACAATAAAGTTTTTCATTGTCAGGCCTTAATGACAGAGCTGAAACATGTCAAGATTAGTTAATTTACATCATCACCATATTGGGAAAATTGAAATTTAACAAAACTCAATTGACTCCAAATGTTAAATCTATATAGAGTCTAAAATATAAGTAGGCATTGCCAAGAGAAAGTTGAGAAAGCCTATATCAAAATGTAGTTATTATTCAGAATCCATTGCAATTTTAACAGAAATCATACATTATACAGACAACATAAGAATTACCTGCTGCTGTGTCAAGGTAAAATGGAAATAATAGCATCATAACAAATAAAATAAAGGAGCACATCCTTGGAAATTATCGAGAACCTTGATAATTCTTGATTTAATTTTTTTGTATTTCATTCCTTCCACAAAACTCCAATTAGCATAAATGATGAGAGAGCCAAGAAAACCTTGTAAACCAATTGGAAATAAAACATAAAATATAGCTTTACAAAATATCTACATGAGAGAACTGTTAAAATAATAGTATTAAATGGGAACAAGTTTTAAAATGTAGGGTTAAAAACTTGCTAACACTATATTTGCCTGCAAAGAAAAATCCACAGTTATTTGAAACACAATTTTTAATACCTGATATGCATTTGCATAAAAATAACCAGCACTTTTAGGTCTGTGGACTTGCTGACTTTGCAAAGCACAGAATTTGATTCTGAATAATTGGCAATGGTACACAGACATTTACTAGTTGACGCTAGACATGAAAACCAAGGACAAATTCTCTTTTTTTCCCAATGTATTCTTCAAATCCTATTTTTGCACATGACACCTTGGCAGGCTCTTCTTCCAACCAGACTACAGTGAAGTAAAATTGAGGTTTTCATAACTCTGAAATGTATGTCATTGAAAAATTGAAGTAAAAGCCATATTACAGTTAGTGAATATATTGTTCAATGATATTTTATAACAAAGCTCTAAGTAGAAAACATGCTAAGCTTAGCTCAATAAAAAGAAACTATGAAAACAAAACAATAAATATAAACAAAAAGACAAGATAAGAAAGTAGTTGCTACACAAAAACAAATCTTCATATTTTATTGCCCAGAAAAAAAATTTTTTTTCTAAAATCTGTTATCTTAGCTGTCTGAGAGCCAAATTAACAATATTCAGTTTATGACATATCTCGGAGGAAGAGAAAAGACGAGTAGGGAAAATGAACAGCCATAGAAAAACTGAGGCATTTCATGTGCTGATAGAATTTATAGAACTTACTCCATTTTCGGTATAAAATGATTATTCTATGTTCTTCCTTGGAAGTATTTACATTTTTTTTTTAAGTAGCACAGTAGCAGGTAATTGCCACAGATAGAAACTCAGACATCAGGAAAAATGATCATTTTAGATTGAATACATTCTTAACTCCACTCGAAATAAATATTGGAGACCAAATATAATGAGGAGAGGCCTGATAGCAGGTAGTTAAGAGGATGAACTTGAGAGCTGGTCTAGCAGAATTCAAATCTCGGCTTTGCCTTTTAATAGCTACATGACCTTGAACAAATCACTCAACTTTTCAATGTCTGCATTTCTTCCTCTGCAGAATGAGAACAATAATAATATCTACCTCCTTTAATTATTGTGAGGAATAAATGAGTAAAATGAAACCTTTCAAATAATGTCTAATGTGTTTTAAGAAGTACGAAAGGGTTTGCTATTATGACACAGTGAATGAACAAAAACAATTATGAATAATGAACACATACTTTTTAATTATTTTGTGCCAAGTACTGTGCTTGTTGATTTCTGGCATATCAATTTACTTACTGCCTAAAATACCTCTGTGAAGTACGTATTAAATTACATGCATAGTAAAGTTGGAAAAAACATGGATGTCACTTTCTTTGTGGAGCCCTTAATGGTTTTCTAGGACTAGGTTTGCTGCCTCTCCTGTGAGTTTCTCTAGTATACACTGCTGCCCCCATCTTTTCAATTGTCATGCAGCACTGTAATTGCTAATTTAATTGTCTGTCTTCCACAAACTACTGTAAATTCTGTGAAGGCAGGGTCTCACATATCTTGAGTGCTTGGCTTAGTGTCTTTTGTTTGTACTGCTCACATATCTTCAGTTTACTCACGTCTTGAGTGCTTGGCATAGTGACTTTTGTTTTTAGTAGATCAATAAATATGCATTTGTTAAATATTCTATGAAATTCTCTGGAACGGATTCTGTATCAAGTGGCCTGAAACCCATTTTTAATCATCCTTTTCCATGTCCTCTTTACTACAGATACTAAAAAATCTTATCACGTGCCCAGCCTCTCTCACAGTCAGAAATAACCATGTGACACAGTTCTAGCCAACGATAACATGGATCAGCTACATGAAAGAGGGATGATGGTATTGGAAGCTTTTGTTTTACTTTTAATAGGGAATAAAAATTACAAGTTTCATTTTGATATGAACAGGAGATGGAAATACTGGGTAGAAGAGCGTGGTTCCCTGGCAAAGGCTACCCCCTCAAGCCTGGAAACCCACAACCTTAAATGAGAAGAGGCATTCCTGTTTTTGCACTTGAAAGTTGCCTTTTGGCCTCCCATCCCCTCCCATCCTGTACCCATATAAATCCCAAACCCCCAGCTCCAAAAGGAGATGAATAGAAGAGCAGAAGAATGCAGAGTGGCAAGGCAAAGAAGAGGAGAAGAGAAGGAGCATCTGAAAGTTGAGAGGAGTTGGGCTGGGGACGGTCTGAGAGGAGATTGGCCGCTGGATGGCCAAATTCCAGGAGAAAAATAATCTCACTCCATCCCCCTTCCAGCTGCCCATCCACCTTGCTGAGAGCCACTTCCATCACTCAATAAAACCCCCACATTCATCCTTTAAGTCTGTGCGACTTGACTTTTCCTGGATACCAGAAAAGTACCTGGGTCCCAAGAGGGCACTGAGCTGGTTACACTCTTCAGCTGTCTTCAGATGGCAAATCTAAAAGAGCACACTGTAACACACACCCACTTGGGCTTCAGGAGTCACAGGCACCCAGCCTTAGATCCTACCTTGGGGCTGGAGCCCCAAGGCACTCGCCTGGGTTGCTGCACCTGCCTGTCAGCATGCTCCCTGTCCTGCAAGGGGCCTGAGAATGTGTGGTGGCCAAACAGATGAGCAACACCCCTGTCGCACGTCCTGCAAAGTGATCAAGGAACTCTCCTCTCTCAATTTCTTTCTCTCTTCTTTTTGTTTTTATAATAGATGTGGGTTGTAGAGCTGTAGCAATCATCTTAAGACCAAAAAGTGATAACCACAGTATTATGGACTGAATTGTCCCCCTGCATTCATATGTTAAAATCCTAAACCCTAGAAATGTGACTGTATTTGAAGACAGAATTTTTTGACAGGCAATTAAGTTAAAATGACATTATGAGCCCTAATCCAATACGACTGGTACTCTTATAAGAGGAGATTTAGACACACACACAGATGTGCAGAGGCAAGATCATATGAAGATACAGGGAGAAGATGGTCATCTACAAGCCAAATAGAGAGGCCTCAGAAAAAAATCAAACCTGCCAGCACCTTTATGTTGACTTCTGGCCTCCAGAACTGTGAGGAAATACATTTCAGTTGTTTAAGTCACCCAGTCTCTGATACTTGGTTATAGCAGCCATAGCAAACTAATAAACAAGCGAATCCAAGTCAAGATACTAAGAATGACACAACAGGGAAATATGACGAACCTGGAAATGCAAACCAACACCATTAAATGCTTATCTCCAGACTTATCACGTGAGATAAATAACTCCTACTTGTTTATGCCATTTAAAATCGGAGTGTTAATTTCTGCTGCTGCCTGAAACATTCTTACTTTTCCTTTGATTCCTAAGTGAATTTGACCTGATTCAAAACATGGGCACGTGGGCCAGGCACAGTGGCTCCCACCTGCAATCCCAGCACTTTGAGAAGCCAAGGTGGGAGGATTGCACGAGATCCAAAGCTCAAGATCAGCCTGAACAACATAGCGAGACCCTGTCTCTACAAAAATAAATAAGCAAATTAAGAACATAGGCAAGAGAACTAAGTATCACCAAATTCCAGATCAATATGCTACCTGCCTGTCTGCATGAGGTAAATCAGCCAGATTTGGAAAAAAAAAAAAATTCTATTGGCAGCTGGAAAAGCAACCTAAATATAATGATTAATTTAAAATAAAATTCAGTAGATTTTTTTGTAGTAGGTCTGACATTCTTTCTAGGAATATGATTAAGTAAGATCTTACCTGTAGATATTCTAATATTTCAACATTTCTTGTGACATTTAATAAAGAATGTACTTCTGTCATAAGAAAGTGAGCAAAAACTTTCATAAACAGATATGAAAATATAAGTGACAGAGAAATAAGAAAATAATTGGGCAAAAGTATAATATAGATCAAAAGGAAACTAAAATTAGAATAATGAACAAAATAGTCAAACATGCCTAAATCCTATTAATTACTTCTAAAATTGTAATAATGGTGTTGCTATTGCATTGCAGGATTTTTTTTATCACCCTATTTATCACGCAAAACAGTTGGTTATTTATTTCTTTTAGAGTGAGAACCCTCACTCTAAATTTCTTTTGGAGTGAGAAATCCAACTCCAGATTTTTTCCTGAAGGTCTTTTCTCTATGCTCCCCACCTAATACTAGCTTCCTGAGCCTGAGTTCTTAAAAAAAAAAAAAAAAAAAAAAAAAATTCCCAAAGCAGACTATACTGCTTTGGCAGACTGTACTGAGAGAGGCAGTGCAATAGCAGGGAATCAAAAGTGAGGGTAACATGAAGTGAGACAGTGAAACAGGGCAAGTATGTTTAAAATGGGATGTTACTAATCTGCTCTGGTTCATAGGAAATAAAGTTGACTGACTGGTCTTATAGAATATCTTCAGGGAGACTATATGATACTGCATCTCAAAGCTGCCAAGAGAGGAAGGAAAAGTAATTTATGAGTGTGCCCTTTCCGGTCTCTTGCCTTTCTTTGGTCAAAGATCATTACATGTGGTGTTTCCTACTCTTCTGCATTTTAATTGGCCTCTTTAGGTAGGGGAAGCTAGCACTTTCACAAGTCCAGTTGGGTTATGATGGGTAACATTGAAAAGCTAGACCTGTTTCACCTCACACCACAAGAGTGCAACAGAATTCATACTGAAGCCCCTCTCTCACTCTTGGGGTGGTAAGAAAATTTGAAATCTTAGAAGAGATAGGGAATGCAGTGGTGATGGGAGTGCAGAGTTAAGCCCGTGGGAACAGTGAAACCATCACTGTGGCTGCTCTGAGAAGTAAGGCAAATGGCTAATTCCCTGGCCCAGGGTTTAGGTGGAGCTAAGCCGATCAGGAACATAAGCTGGCCTGAATACAATTCGTCTTTCAGTTATTTATTTGTGTGTGAGCTTGTACTTTCCTTTTTTGATAATTGTGCAGCATCATTACACTAACAGATTTATTTGCTTGAGCATGAACAGAATCATATTCTATGTGTGCACTGTCATCTTTATTACTATTTACGTATATGACATTAATATGGCTGATAACGTTTGCTTGAATTTTATCATAATTTTATGCTTCTAAAAACCACTTTTGAAGTACTTGTAAAGTACTCATGAAATTGTTCCAGTGTTCCTCTTTTGGTTGCATGTTAGGGTGATACTTTTGCTCCTTTGAGGTTAGAACTGTAAGCAAAAGTGGCATGTGTCACGCTCAGGCAGAAATTGAAGGGTCCACACATGAGTAAACTTATATTCTTCCTACCATTTGACTGATCATCAAAGTAGGTTTAAGCTGAAGCCTGAGATGCTGAATGATAGGGTAAACAGGGCTTTCTGCCAACACATGTGGATCGGTGGCCTAGAAAAAAATTAACTTTTACTGTGGTAAGCCACAAAGGATTTGTGGCTGTGTACTACTGAAACATAACCTAATCAGCTGAAGTCCATAAAGTCCCTCATCATAGATGGTTAGGAAGATTTAAATGAAGGGAGTATTAACAAGGTTGTGGTCATCAGAGGTTAGGAAAACTGACCGGGAATGATGAATTATCCTGAGATTTTATCACTGCAAAGATGTTATGACCACTAGATCTGAATAGGCAAGAAGAGTGAGAGTTAATTTACCAGAACTTAGATTGTATGGTTGTATGGAGAGGCCTGATAAGAAATGTAGACTTCAGTAGAAGAATTCAGCCAAATTGCAGTGATCTGAAGCAGTTAAATCCAGAAGAACCTTGACCCTACTTTCCTTTTACCCTCCAATCTCCTTCCAGTGAATCCTACTGATGACCACTCTTGGAAGCTGGAAAACAAAAGAAATCCATTGATGCAGATAATGACATAAAGCCCCTCACTCTCACCCCAAGGCAAGAGTAGTAAAAGAAGCATTAAAAGTATAGATCTAGAGAGGCAAATGGAAATATCCACCAACATAACCTATTTATAACCTATTTCGATTGATACAGAAATTGATACTAGATATTGCTGTGGTAACAGAGCTAAAATACATGAAATTGATTCAGAGTCTAGGTGACAAGTAGGAAGATAACTGGTAGAAGAGCCTGAAAGGATAATCCACATTATGCAGTTTCAAACTTTTGGTAATATTCTCACCTTTCCTTAGAAGGCAACTCATATAGTTCTAGGACAACTGATTGGGAGAAAAATAATATTAATGGTACATGGCAATTGTTATTGATTATAATTGGCAAGTATCAGAGGACAGGAAACTCAGAAAAACAGATTTTAAAGAAAATGAGGAGAGTTTACAAATTCAGGGACTTGCTGAGTTGCAAGCAGAACTGCTTCTCAACTCCAAACAGTAAAATATTAAATGAAGAAATGCTTTGCATTAAAGAAACAAATTAAAACTCAGACTCTTGGCAAGCATCAAATCAAGGGAATGGCCATTGAACTCATTATTAAAACCTCTGAATGATCCGTGGCTGCACATGGAAAAAACCTTTTCAGTTCATCAAAATCTCTCCAGGAAAATAGATTAAATGTTTGGATTTCCTACCAAAACCTGACAAGATCACTATATCTGCAATTAAGTCAAGAGAGAGATTCATGAGGCTTTACTCAATAAAATGTGAGCAGATGAGACACATTAGTTCTGGGCAAAAGCTCTTGGAGCCAACCCATGAGTTGCCAGGTTCTCTTCCCTCTGCCATGGCCATCTGAGAAACAGGTGTCAAGATGAAGCCACCGAAGGCCGATGTTCCCAGTGACTGTAGTGAGGAGAGCTCCCTGCTTGTCTTTTAGACAGGAAGCAGAAAGCCAAGACAACATTTAGTTATATTAAGCTACTGAGTTTTATGGTTATTTATTATTACCTAACATCTTGAATAATACAAGTCCATAATCAACTTTTGGAATTGAAAATGTTATTCAATATAGCAATACCTATGAAAATACAAACTGAACAAATGAAACCATTAACAGGAAAATAATATACAAGTAGGAGAGGCATGAACAACTGCAGCCAAGATGAAGTGATTGACGTAATCCTTCAGGCTTTATTACAGTCTTGCGGAGTATAATAAGAGTTAGAACAAAAGAGAATTATTATAAAGACCATGAAGAATTTTGCATTTCAATTTTATAAAATGTATATGAATTTTTTTATCTAAAGCTACTAATCAGCCCATGCAATATTAAATAATTTTCAGAGACTCTGTTTTAATCAGTTCAAAAAAATAATACAGGCCTCAGCAAAAAGAACAAGAGTTCATGAGGGAAATGAAGGTTCTGGCTTGTCTATATATCACTTCTGGAAATTCAGGAATAATCCTATGGTATAATAAAAATATATTTGGTCTTTGTTTCAAGTTCCTGGCACAGAACTCCTAAAATCTCTGGAATTTCCTAACTAATAATAATGTATTTTGTTATTTCTAAGTAACTCCTTTAAAGCGTGCCTGAATTTATGCCAATGTTGACTCATAGCAGGCCCCTAAATACCTTCAGGATAGGATGTGATCATCAGAGGAACAGGCCACATGATCAGAGGGTTGAAACTTTCAGCTCCACCTTCCCCCATCCCTTGCCCCTTGCCAACCTCGACAGAAAGGCACTGGAGATTGCGTTTAATCGGCCATGGTCAATGCCTTAATCAATTATGCTTCTGTAATGAAATCTCTGAATTAGAAACTCTGAATGATGAGATTTCAATGGCAGGGGGTTGGTTCTGGGTTGGTGAAAACACTGAGGTCCTGAGAGGGTGGTATACCTGGAGAAGCCATGGAATGCCACTGTTTTCCTTGTACTGTGTCCTGTAAACTACTTCCATTTGGTCTTTCTTGAATCGTATCCTATTAAAACTGTAATAATAAGTACAGCCCTTTCCTGAGTTCTATGTGTCATTCTAGCAAACTATTGAATCTGAGGAAAAGACTGGGGGAACCCTCCTCAAATTGTTAGCCAGCTGCAAAGAAGTGCTGGTAGCCTGACAGCCTCATTACAGGCTGGCATCTGAAGCGGGGCAATCTTGTGGAACTGAGCCCCTTAACCTGTGGAGGTCTGCACTAACTCCAAGTAGTTAGTGTCAGAATTGAATTGAATTATTGCACACCCCAGTGCATTTGCTTGTTTTTTTATAATTGATATTCTTGTCTCAGTTTGCTTGAGTCCTTTTAATCCTATAAGTGTTTCATTGGCTTTGAGCAGTTTTTGTTTTCTGGCTCTTTCTTATGGATTCAACTGTTTCCATAATTATTTATTCCATGGTTTCTCTTTGGTCAAGTTTCAGAGTATTAGTTTTTTCCTCCGCCATAGCTTGTTCTCAGTTCCTACCTTTTCCAATTAAGCATCTGCTTGTTTCTACATTCATACCCTTTAGTCTTGCAAACTAGCCATGCCCAGAGAGCTCTGCATTCCAGCCTGTTACTTGGGGAATCATAAGCAAATGGTCCAAGGAACAATAGCCTCAGCATCATGCAAGTTCAGGAAAGCTACAGGCAATCAGGGATGTCAAAACATTTAATATGTCAAGCATAGCATATCACTAAGAAATTCTATTCAGACTGTTGATTAGAAAACACAATTCATCTGTCTGTATTTAGCAAACCTCCACTCCAGCTCTCCAGGAATTGGGGATTGCAGAAAGTATAACTCAGCCCCAGAAAAGGAATAAGGGATGGAATTAGTTAAGTTAGGACTCATATTTAAATACTAAATGAGAGTTTGAGTATCTATCAGACATCATTCAATACTACTAATAAGAATTAATAAGCCCCATAAGACATTCTGAACTGCAGCTACCAGGCTAACTCCTTTGGTAACCATATATTATAAGAAACGAACTAAACCTCATTTTCATTTCAAAGTTACAGTAAACTCTACTAAATTGTCTAAAGAAAAAAAGTTCTGAAAAAGATCTAGTTAACTATAGATTGAGATAGAGGGTTAATGGGTATTTAGACCAGGTCTATCGCCACTTATTGACACTTCTTTCTTCCATTTAGACTTAATCACAAACTCTTCGTAGTAGTCAGATGGCTACCATAAATGTCATGGTTATTCTTCCATGATCAAGTAGAGTATAAAAGAGTCTTCCATCCCCAAACTCCAACTAACATCTCAGCATTCCTAAAAGTTATATTCCCGGCTGGTCATGGTGGCTCACACCTGTAATCCCAGCACTTTGGGAGGCCGAGGTGAGCGGATCATGAGGTCAGGAGTTCGAGACCAGCCTAACCAACATGTTGAAACCCCATCTCTACTAAAACTACAAAAATTAGCCGGGCATGGTGGTGCATGCCTGTAGTTCCAGCTACTCGGGAGGCTGAGGCAGGAGAATAGCTTGAACCCAGGAGGCAGAGGTTTCAGTGAGCCGAGATCGTGCCACTGCACTCCAGACTGGATGACAGAGAAAGATTCCATCTCAAAAATAAATAAATAAATAAAATAAAATAAAATAAAAATTTATATCCCCATCTCTGAATTAATTAGTGTAGCCCAGAAAAAATGGTGAGTTTAGAGGTGCTGGGACATTTGGTAGACAAAAGACTAGAGATACTGGTCTCGTTTTCTGACCATTACAGTTCTCCTACATCTTTCATCATCACTAAGAAGGCAAGAGAGACAAAGCAATAATAAAAAAATTTTTTCCTCCAGCGCAAGATAGGCTACGCAATGAAATTTATCAAAATTCTACCATTACATATGCATGTGTAAGCATTTTAGACTACTGAAAAGAGGCTGACGAGTAGGCCAATTTTTGGATGATAAGGCTGAAAGAATAAAGATCAGAACTTGGAAGCTCAACTGTCCTTCAGGACCAAAATAGCTAAAAGGATTCAGGATACAATCTTGCCTAGATCCATACTGGAAAGCCCAAAATCTGACCCAAGTGCAATTTCATGTATAATGTGCATAATGCATGGCATGAGAGGATTGTTAAGGGATAGTACACAGAGTAGACAGAACTAAACAAATTTCTCATCTTTCACTCTCAGTCTCCCTAAACTTACAGAACTTGGGGCAGCCCCATCCTGAATTTACTGTTACAGGGTTAAAACAAAGTTGTTACCCAGATGTCTCTGTGAGTCAAGTTAACAAGTTCTTGAAGTAGTTTTAGAGTTGATTTTCCCTCTTCATCTGACAGAGATACATACCTACAGAGACCGGACCTACCATGTGTAATGTTGCAGAAAGAAGAAATAAATAATATCTATTAAGTCCTTATCATATGCAAGGCTTTTATTTACATTATCCACCTTACATAAATTATCTCTTCTAATTCTTCCAACAGCATGAAAAAAAAAAAACATCTATTTATTTTTCCAGGTAACAAAAGTTCAGGTTTAGAGAACTCAAGTAATTTGCCTAAATTTACACAGCAAACAGTAATGTTCCAACTTAATCTCAGGGCATTTGGCCTCAAAATACTATTTCCATCCCTACTTTCTTGCTTCCTCCTTTCCATATATATATATATATATATATATATATATATATATATATATATATGTTTTTTCATATATTTTGCTTTTGGGATTTAAAAGATAAAAACCTTAAACATTTCAGATATATTTGAAATTATCTTTGGAATCCTTCTCAGTCTCATTTCCTGTTACAGTAGCAACTACTATAGTGAAATTTTTGGATAATCTTCCAATGAACTTTTACTCAGTGTAACTCTCCATATATAATGTATGGTGTTTCCAGTTTTAATAATTAAATTTTACAAATGGTAAAAGAATTAATTGCCATTCTGTAAGTTGTTTTGGTGTTTCAGTGTTTTGGAGCTTCTTTTCTGTTCTTTTTTTACTCCTATTTTTCTCCATAAATATCATGAATCTTTTAGTCTATATATTTCTAAGTAAAGTATTATCTTGTGGCTATTATCTTGTGATTTGAGAATTTAAATATGTTGATATATGAATATCTGGCTTATTCTGTTTTAACTGCTATATAGTATATCAAATATAAATATACTATTGTTTGTTATCCATTCCCTAATGATGGACATTTAGATAGCTGTTAAAATAAGCTATAATTACCCCAGATATGTTTGATGGTTGCAGCATTCTATCTATAATGCTATAATTATCACAGATGTTTCATAATTGCAGCATTCTATCTATCTATGTATCTATCTATCTTAGTCTATCTACAGGCATCTCATTATGCAGATTGTACTAGTTTCTATTACTGCTGTAACAAATCACCAAAATTTAGTGGCGTAAAACAACACATATTGGTGTCGTCTACGTCTGGAGGTTGAAATCCAAAATAGATTTCACTGCGCTAAAGTCAAGGGGTCCACAGGCTGGTTACTTCTGGGAGGCTCTAGGAGAGAAACAGTTCCCTTGTCCTTCCAGCCTCTAGGAGCCTCTCAGATTCCTGGGCTCATGCCCTCCTTCTTCCATTTTCAAAGCCAGCAGTGGGACCTTCTCAAGCTGCCATTTATCGGTTATCTGCAGCTCAGAAAATGTTTCCACATTTAAGGATTCATGAGATTATACTGGGCACACCCGGATAATCTAGGAAACACTCTTCACCTCAGAGTCCTTAACCTTAATCACAATTGCAACTTCCTTTGCCATGTAAGGTAACATCATCACAGGATTAGAATGCAGACATCTTTAGGGGGATATTTTTCTGCCTAACACACATTTATGCTCCCATTTCCCCACATCATCATCAACACTTGCCATTTTCATTTATTTATATTGTTACGATGGAGAGATATATCATGCGTTTTCATAAGTTCAAAAGCCTTCTCTTATGTTCATTGGCATTTTTTGTAACATACAGAGTCTCCTGAGGCTCAAGCAATGCTCCCACCTCAGTTTCCTGAGTAGCTGGGCCTACAGGTGTGCATCACCATGCCTGTCTATTTTTTTGTTTGTTTGTTTGTTTGTTTTTGTAGATACAAAATTTCACTCTGCTGCCCAGGCTGGTTTTGAATTCCTGGGCTCAAGCAATCCACCTGCCTCAGCCTCCCAAAGTGCTGGAATTATAGGTATGGTCTGGAGCTTCTTTTATGTTCTTTTTTAACTCCTATTCTCCATAAATATCATGCATCTTTTAGTCTATGTATTTCTAAGTAAAGTATTATCTTGTGAATATTAAAATATCTGTTTTATCACAAAAATTATTTTCAATAAAATAATTAAAAATGGCATTGTGTTGAAATTTGTTTTTTCTGACTCTTATTTTAGGTTCAGGGGGTATATGTGCAGATTTGTTACATGGGTAATTTGCATGTCACTGAGGTTTGGTGCGTAAATAATTTCATCACCCAGGTAGTGAGCATAATACCCACTAGTTAACTGTTCAACCCTCTCTCTCCCTCACCCCCCTCTCCCCTGGTAGTCTCCAGTGTCTGCCTATTGTTCCCATCTTTGAGTCCATGTGTACTCAATGATTAGCTCCCACTTATAAGTGAGAACATGCGGTATTTTGTTTTCCGTTCTTCCATTAATTCACTTGGGAATGGCCTTCAACTGCATCCATGTTGCTGCAAAGAAGATTATTTCATTCTTTTTTTTTTTGACTGTGTAGTATTGCATGGTGTATACGTATCAAATTTTCTCTATACACCCCATCGTTGATGAGCATCTAGATTGATCTCATGTCTTTGCTATTTTGAATAGTGCTGTGATTAACATATGAGTGCCTGTGTCTTTTTGGTGGAATGATTTATTTTCCTTTGGATATATACTCAGTATAGTATTGCTATTAGTTGTTTTGTTTTACGTTATTTGAGAAACCTCCAAACTGCTTTCCACAGTGGCTGAACTAATTTTAATTTCCACCAAAAGTGTGTAAGTGTTCCCTTTTCTCCACAACCTTACCAACATCCTGTTATTTTTTGACTTTTTAATAAAAGCCATTCTGACTGGTGTGAGATGGCACCTAAATGTGGTTTGGATTTGCATTTCTTTAATAATTAGTGATGTTGATCTTTTTTTATATATTTGTTGGCTGCTTGTATATCTACTTTTGAGAAGTTTCTGTTCATATTATTTGCCCATTTTTAATGGGGTTATTTGGTTTTTTGCTTGTTGAATTAAGATCCTTATGGATTCTGTATATTAGACCTTTGTTGGATGCATAGTTTGTGAATATTTTGTCCACAAGTTGTCTGTTTACTCTATTGACAGATAGTTTTTGTTGTTGTTGTTGTGCAGAAGCTTGTTAGTTTAATTAGGTTCCACTTGTCACTTTTTCTTTTTGTTGTGATTGCTTTTGGTGACTTACTCATAAATTCTTTGCCAAGGCCAATGTCCAGAAGGGCATTTCCTAAGCTTTCTTTTAATATTTTTATAATGTTAGATCTTACATTTATGTTTTTAATCTATCCTGAGTTAATTTTTGTATATGGTGAATGGTAGTGATTCAGTTTCAATTTCTGCATATGGCTAGCTAGCCAGCTACCCTAGCACCATTTGTTGAATAGGGAGTCCTTTTCCAAATGCATTGCTCTATGTATCTGTTTTTATAGCACTACAAAACTGTTTTCATTACTGTAGTCTAGTAGTATAGTTTGAAGTCAGGTAGTGTGATGCCTCCAGATTTATCCTTTTTGGTTAGGATTGCTTTGAGTATTGAGGCTCTTTTTTGATTCCACATGAATTTTAGAATACTTTTTTCTGATTCTAAGAAAAATGACCTTGGTAGTTTGATAAGAATAGCATTGAATCTGCAAATTGCTTTGGGTAACATGGCCATTTAAACAATATTGATTCTTCCTATCTAGGAACATGGAATATTTTCCAACTTTTTTATGTCAACTTAGATTTCTTTCAACAGTGTTTTCTAATTCTTATAGAGATCTTTTACCTCCTTGGTTGGTGATTCCTAAGTATTTCACTAATTTTTGTAGCTATTATAAATGTGACTGCATTCTTGATTTGGCTCTATTCATTGCTGTATAGAAATGCTACTGGTTTTGTACATTTATTTTGTATCTTGAAACTTTACTGAAGTCCTTTATGAGCTCTAGAAGCCTTTTGGAAGAGGCTTTTGTGTTTTCTAGTATAGACTCATATCATAAGTGAAGAGAGATAATTTGATTTCACTCTTCCTATTTGGATGCCTTTCAGTTCTTTATCTTGCCTGATTGCTCTGGCCAGGACTTCCAGTACTATGCTGAATGGGAATGGTGACAGTGAGTATCCTCATTTTCTCCCAGTTCTCAAGGAAAATGCTTTCAGCTTTTGGCCATTCAGCATGATGTTGGCTGTGGATTTGTCATAAAATGGCTTTTATTATTTTGATACATGTTCCTTTAATGCCTAGTTTTTGAGGGTTTTAAAAATAGATGATAAATTTTATCAAAAACATTTCTCTATTGAGATGATCATATGGTTTTTGTTTTTATGCAGTGAATCACACTGATTGATTTGTATTTGTTGAACCAAACTTGCATCCCTGGAATAAAGCCTACTTGAGAGTGGTGAATTAACTTTTCAATGTGCTGCTGAATTCAGTTTGCTAGTATTTTGTTGAAGATTTTTGCATGTACATTCATCAGGTATACTGACCTGAAATCTTCCTTGTGTGTGTGTCTATATGTTTCTACCAGATTTTGGTATCATAATGATGTTGGCATCATAAAATGAGGTAGGGAGTTATCGCTCCACCTCAATTTTTTGGAATAATTTCAGTACGATTAGTTGTAGCCCTTTGTATGTCTGGTATAATTTGGCTGTAAATTCATCTGGTTCTGGACTTTTTTTTGGTTGACAGATTTTTTTATTTTTGATTCAATTATGGAACTCATTGATCAGTTCAGTGTTTTGATTTCTTCTTTTAATTTCTTCCCACAATCTTGGGATGGTGTGTTTCCAAAAGCTTATCCATTTTCTACGGTTTTTCTAGCTTGTGTGCATAGAGGGGTTTGTAATAGTCTCCATGGATTTTTTTGTGTTTCTTTAGGGTTGGTTGTAATGTCACCCATGTCCTTTCTGATTGTGCTTATTTGCCTCTTCTTTTTTTCTTTATTAACCTAGTTAGTGGTCTAGAAATCCTGTTTATTCTTTCGAGAAACCAATTCTTGGTTTCATTTAACCTTTAGTATGGATTTTCACATTTCAATTTTGTTTACTTCCTTTCTAATTTGGTTATTTCTTTTCTTCTGCTAGCTTTGAGGTTGGAATGCTCTTGTTTTCCAGTTTCTACAGGTGTGATGTTAGGTTGCTAATTTGAGGTCTTTCTAATTTCTTGATGTGGGAATTTAATGATATAAACTTTCTTAGCACTGTTTTAGATATGTCCCAAAGATTCTTGTATGTTCTATTTCTGTTCTTATTAGTTTCAGTACTGGCAACCCGATGGAGTGCTGGCAGCTTCCTCTCCCCTTAGCCCCAGTGTCTGTGTCATCTCTCCAATCCCTCTCAGTGCATTCTCTTAGAAGATCTGTTTGGAGTATGCTGGTCTACTAGATATTTTGGTCTCTTTCAATGGGAGAAGCTCTTCCTGACTGTTTCTACTTGGCCATCTTTAACATTCCTCTTGTTTTGCTTATTAAGACCCCAAAATGAGTAGGAAAATTGTTAACAAGACTTTAGTGAAAGTTAGCTATTAAAATGTAGAAATAAAATCTGGCCATCATTGAATTTAATGTAGTATTTAATACAATACCAAATGTCCTTGGGTATCAATAATACTTAGTACAATGAAAAATGGCTGCCCTACAGAATCCACAGAATGACTAGCTAACTGAACAGATCAAGAGGAGTAAGGCAAAGCCCAGACCTGACCACAGTAACAGTGTGGGTGGCACAGCTTATGCATTCACCATCAGACACTCTCCAAATGCTACTCATATCTAGAAATAGCCAATTTAGCAGCTAAAAAATCATGATTGTTCTTGAACCTTTGAACAGTTATCTCAGAAGTCAAATCCTAAATACAATCATCCAATTGTCTACATTGAGGCCGCAAGTCCACATTATAGCTGTCTCTGGAGTGGAAGAGAATGTGTTTATTCTATAGTACTTTTGTAGTGAGAGGTGGAATAATACCTTTAACCTATCTTGGAATTTTCTCCAAATAAAAGGAATTATTTTTTGGCCAAAAAATACAAATGACTGCTATATTCTAGCTGACATTTTTTTGTGTATGATCAGTTTAGTAATGGTACTTTTCATGTTGCTGTCAACCCATATACTATGTGAATTTAAGACGATACATGTGTAAGATCACAACATCCTGAGGACAGAATTCTGAGGACTGCTTTTTTCTATTACAGCTTCATTGGTTAGCCTATGCCCTGCAGAAAATGCAAGTTACGTTTTCTACCCACAGTTAGCTTCAGGAAAAGAAGTATTCCATAAGCCAATTATCTATGGTTCCGCAAACACTGAAAAAAGGTACAACGTCTTTGGTTGTTGGTTGGTCTTAGAAGTAGTGGCTCAGCTAACATTCAAACTGCCTAACAAGCAGCAAGCTGCACATTAAATATTATTCCTTTCTCTTTTATTTTCTGCCAATTACAAAAGTAATATCTATTTATCACATAAATTTGCAAAAATTAGAAATTTTTGAAGAAGAAAAGAAAAAAACACCTGAAATCCAATGGCAGGTAACCATGCCACTTTTTTATATCTCCCAATGTTTTTTAGCTTTTGTATTTATTTTTAAATAGGGTTATATTACAGACATTTTATAATGTGTGTGTGTGCTTAGCATAAAAATATATGTTAAGTAGTTTCCTTCATTCTATATATTCTTCGAGGACAGTTTTTTTCACTCTTCTATTTCATAGATGTATCTCATTTCAGCCTTACCGTTGAACATTTAGATTCTTACCAGTATTTTGCTAATTTTAACTGACATGTTTTAAGTTACTCGCCCAGCCTACAATGAATTGCTCATGTCTGAGAACATTCCTCCCTCACTCCTGACTGTTTACTGTTTTATGTCTAATATAGTGTCCTGTCTCTGTCACATTGTATATGCTCATATATTTTGAATAAATTCATAGGAAGTTGTGGTGGGACCATGTAAATATGTCTTATTTCATGGCCCTGTCTACTGCCCATAACTTGGACCAGGGGAGCGTACTTAGTTCAAGCTGAGCTAATGAGACTCCCTTCCCTAGGAATAAAATGAAGCTAAGTAAATGTAGTCTCAGACTTTGCTGGTTTCTTTAACAGGGATGTAAAAATAACGTACATTGTGATTAGACTGTCTTCTTCCAGGTGGACTATATAGCAGACAAAGCTAGGCTGCTGAAAATCATGAAGCAGATGTGCTGAAATAAAAAAGTTAAGAGATAAAGAAAGTGCTAAAGATGAGTTCCCTGATTATTCTTAAAACAGTTGTCCTTCTACTTATAAAAAATCAAAAATATATTCTTTATTATCAATTGGTCTCAATCCTTAATGTACCTCAGAATTGCCAAACATGTTTGTTAAAAAATCAGATGCTCTGTTCAACCCTAAAAGATTTTCATCCAGTGTGTTTCGAGTGGTCCCAGAAATTTGCATATTTATTAAGTATTTCAGTTAAGTGTAGTGCAGGTGGTATGAGAACTACTGCTTGCAAAGCACTGCATTGACTGTGCCATGTTCCCTCTTTAGTGCTTCTTCTGAACTCCTTTCCTCCAGGCTTCTTTCCCAACTCATCATTATCTAACTCTTCCCAAAAAACAAATCTCTCTTTTAAGCATTATATACATTTGCTCATATTGTATTATGTGATGCAAGTACAAAATTATCTCTGATTCTCCTCTAGCTAGTCATCTATCAACCACGTGTCTAAATTTCCAAACAGGGAAGTCATATTACAATAGATTTTATTTAAATTGGAGCCACTCATTTAAGTGAAGGTCCATGTATTTCAGTAACTTTTGTCCTCCAAGAAGAAACAATAAAATAAATTTTATTTTTTGTCACCCTCTTTAGATAGTTCTCCTGAAGCCAAAAGGAAACTTACTGTTGAATTACCTGTAGAGAGTCACATATTTAAACGCCTCATTGTAAGAGGCAAATTCACAAAATGAATACACACTAAACACTTGGCACTGCAATTTATAAGCTTTTATGATTTTGTACTTATTATCAGAAGATAACTTTGTTGCCATCAGTAAGCATTAATTGCCTAGTGTCATTTGGATATGATGATAAGACAATAGGAATTAACCCAAATATCTACCTATAAAGCCGAATATTTTTCATTTTATTAGCAAGTAAATCTTACTAATGGAATACATTTAGTCTTCTAAACATGCCAGGCTATTTAGTTCCATTTATAAGATTGCAATGAGAGTTAATGAGGAAGCATAATTATCTGATGCATGTTTATATTCTCTTCCTCTCATTTTTATTTTTAGCTCCTTCATGTCTTATTTTTTAAGATGGATGCTATTCTGCTTAACTCTTCTATTTTATTATAAACCAAATATGCCATAAATAAGCATGTTATACAAGAATAATTGTTTATTCTTCTCTCTGAACCATTCAACTTCCTTCTGTGACAGGCAGCAGAGTCAAGCAAATGAATGTTGAGAGGCACTATGTATTCATCAGACAAACACACATTAAGGCTGGATATTATAAACTAGAAACTGTATTAACATTTTGGTCATTAAATCTGCTTAATTAAATTTAATTGTGTTTTCCCTTACGTTATAGCAATTGCACACTAACCATATTGTCTTTCCTGTCCTAGAAAATAAAACATTATTCCAGGAAAGTCAACAATTTAGACTTTCAAAGTCAGATGTATCTTTGAGAAGAATTAGATTATCTCTTATTACCAAGGAAAGAAATAAGGAAGATTACTGTGTTATTTTGATGGTGCCAGGGAAATGGTCAACATAAGGTATTAAAGTGCTTCTATGGGCCACTATTAATTAATTAATTATCATGTAAGTGCTGCTATCTGTCAACTTCGTATGATTTTTCTATAGGGTGAATGACACACTCAGGAATCGTCAAGTCAAACCAGTCAAACAAGAAATATAGATTTGATGATCAGACAACAACAATCCACATTTATAATAGTTAAGTGCTTTGCAATTTTTAGGTTCTAATGGAAATTGTTCACTGCAGAAATGTAAGCACAAACAACTTAGACATGCAATATATGTAAAATGCATAACAATAAACAGCATTTTATAATTTTAAACAAGGGAGAAAACTATATTCCCACTGCGGATTTAAGACGGTGTTATTGAAGGAAAGACATATTAACTGGTTTAGATAACAAACTTGGGACAGAAATGTCCTTGAAGGGTAACAGACCTTGGCATCTATATCCTTAACCAGTATTCCCCAGTCTATGCAGGCAAAAGTGAAGTGCTAAATGTTCAGTCAAGACTAAGGTGCCATCTAGCTTATTGATGAAGGTGACTAGAGCATGGCTATGCTGAGACTGTGTGCTTGTGATAACTACAAAGGTTGAAAACTCTTGCCATTAGCATGAGGGAATGTTTCTTCCCTGGAATATATGCTACTATACTTGTTTTCTTAAAAAAAAAACCATAATTGTAATTATATTATTGCTCTGAGTAAGACAGAAGGCACAAACATATCAGTATGCATTTCCTTACCATCCAGCTTGTTTTTATGTACCAAAAATATATCAATTTGTGTGCAATACAAATTGTGCCATTTCTCTGACAGGACAGGTCATAAATGAAACATAGTGGCTGTTCACAATGTGCACCGGTTGCTTACAGTTCCATTTGTGAAAAAAAGTGTATGCCTTCTCTCATGACGACTCCACTGATTTATTCATGATGCACTATAGTTTGAGTGTAAAAAGTTACAGACACACCCACCAGGATTTTAGGAGGTCCTTTTGTTTTATGTCAACCATTTCAGTGTAAGATATAACTTGGCATAATGAGTCTTAGCCTGAGGGGGGAGCATAACTTGCCAAATATAGAGAAAGATAAATTTGTCTGCTCCAGTATTACCACAGAGAGATTAATATGTAAAATTTCTCTTGCTCATTTAGATGTTTTATTATCAGCTTCCAGCCTACCCATACATTTCAGAATGGACCTATCTCTAAAATTAATAAACAAAGTATTTTAATGGAGATATATTTCATACTTTTCTTCCTGGGATATTTCTAAAGAAAAAAGCATTGTGACCCTTTGAAAATGAATGAAATGCCATTGATTCTACAATTGGCTTCCAAGAAATGTATTTACAAATAATTTATTTTTATTAGTAGACATTAGGAATAGTGTGCAGAATATGAGACTTAAGATCTCTTGTCTAAAGGTACTGAAATCTGCTTAAGTGTGTAGACTATGGCTTCTTAACCTTGCCATTACTGACATTTTGAGTCAAAAAATCATTTGCTGTCTGGGTCTGTCTGTGCATTGTAGAATGGTTAGCAGCATCTCTGGCCTCTACCTTTGTGAAAACCAAAGAAAATTCAAATATTTTATATTGCCAAATGTCCCTTGTTTGAGAACTAGTACCACTGCATTTGTAATCAATAGCTATGTAACAAATACCCCCAAAATTAGCTATTTAAAACAAGAAATATTGCCTCATAATTTCTGTGGATCAGGGATTTGGGTATGGCATAGGTAGATCCTCTGTTTTGAATATCTCAAAAGACTGCAGTCAAATTGTCTGCCAGGGCTCGGGTCTCATCTGAAGATTCAATTGGAGAAGGATCCAATTCTGAGCTCATCTTATCATTGGAAGCTTTCAGCTTCCATAGAGCTGTTCCTGGAGAGACTGATGGCCTAAGTTCCCTGCTGGCTTTTGGCTGGAGGCACCCCTAATTCCTTTCCATGTGGACCTCTCCCACATGAAAGCTTATTCACCAAATTGTACGAACCAACAAGGCAATATCAAGAATCTACTAGCAAGATAGAAGTGACAATCTTTTGTAATTTAATCATAGAAGTGGCAGTCCTTCATTGTTTTTATATTCGATTGGTAAGAATGAAGTTACTCAAGGGGAGGGTCTTACATAAAGCCATGAATACTAGGAAGTGGAAAATATTGGGGCCATCTTAGAGTCTGCCTAACTCAATCAAATTGGCAACACCTGACAACTAGCAAACTATGTCAGTATTACTCAGTCTTCTGCTTTTTGGGACAACCACAACTGCCCCCCATACCCACCCCCTGCTAAATAACCAGTATTGTATGCACTGTGCAATTATGATATAAAGACAGTATGAAAAACTATGCACTAAGTAAAAGAAGTCTCAAATCTACAAGACACAGCTATATGATTGGGAGAGAAGGTAATTCTACAGAGTGATGAAAAATGCTGGTTTTTAAAGAGGCTCACATCTTACTTTCATCTATAATGAGGATAGAAGAATTTAGCTAAGCCAAAAAGGATGTTTTCTAAAGAAGTAGTATTCTAAAGCATCAAGCTCCACTTCCCTTTTCCCTTCAGTTGCCAGAAGAACATGGGCCAGAGTAGTTTGACCTAGATAGCACAGAAATACACAATTGTTTTGGTTTGCTCTCTTTTGCTACATTTGTCAAATTCAAACTTTTCTTTTCACCACAACTTATAACACATTTTATATCATAACCCAGAACACATGTACACCTTCCACACCCCCCACGCACACACACACACAGAGATAGAGACAGAGAGAGAGAAAGAACTAAACATTTTACAAAACATTACTCACCTCTTGAACTATTCTGCTTCTGTCATATTCTAGTCTGTTCTTCTATATTATCTTATAATATTCTGTTTCATTTAAAAAAGTATGGTCAAGATTTACTAAATTATTAAATTAATTTCATGTCCCACTAATTTATACTAACTGTTTAGACACTACTCATCTACTCCAAGCTGACAGTCAGATGCTGCTCAAGTTCTCACAAGTAATTAAATCCACAAGACTGAATTGGAGTCTAGAGAGACACATGGAAAGAATTGTCCCATTATATGTTCCCACTATGGGCATCTAAGCAAGAAATTTTAAAAGTGTAAGCCAGAGAAAAGCTTTTTCTTTTACTCTATCTTCATGTGTTACATATCATGCATGTAACAATATTAATGACAAGCTTCCCAGTATATGATGTCAGCATGGATTTCTCATTATTTTCTTTCTTCTTTTGGCCACTGAAGATGCAACTGTACTTTAGTTCATTTAACTTCTGCCTCTTTATGATCTGTATAAATAATAAGTATACCAGGTACAAAATTGAGCAGGTCTTTTTAATAATACCTTATTCATTTTCCTATAGAATTTCCTGCAGAATCCAAACTATATCCTGACAGCATTGACTTTTTAAACAAGAAGTCCAACAAATAAGAAAAAAGTTTACTTTTGTTTGATCTATGTTGGTGCAAAAGATAACATAATACATAGATAAGGAAGGGATAAAAATCCATTGGGTCAAATTCATTGATATCTCTGGGTCACATTTAAAAAAAAACAAAACTAAGCTACTAGTGAGTTTAGCACTGTTGGTCATCCATCACTGAGTATTTCAGGTGAACAGCAGCATCTGTTAACATGTTTAAGTTTAGAAAAATCATCTGTGTACCTGGAGGTTAGTGATGCTAACTGACCCTCTAAGTATATATACCTGAGACTTTGGCTTCATTAGCACCTTGAATGCCAACTAGAGATCTACAGAGAGAAAATGAAGCAGTTCAGTAATTTTGTCTTTGGATGATGTCAAAGGTTAGAATTGTTATTATTATTTTGAGACAGCGTCTCACCCTGTCGCCCAGACTGTAATGCAGTAGCAAGATCTTGGCTCACTGCAACCTCCGCCTCCCAGGTGCAAGTGATTCTCCAGCCTCGGCTTCCCAAGTAGCTGGAATTACAGGCTTGTGCCACTACTGCCCTGCTAATTTCTGTATTTTTAGTAGAGATGGGGATTCACTAGCAGAGATGGGGTTTCACAATGTGGGCCAGGCTGGTCTTGAACTCCTGATCTCAAATGATCCGCCCACCTCGGCCTCCCAAAGTGCTGGCATTACAGGCGTGAGCCACCATGCCCAGCCAGAATTATTTCTTAATTTTAAAGATTTTTATATAACTGCTTAACTATAAACTAAAATTGCATATTCCTGCACTTCTGGAAAGCTGGTGGGAAAGAAAGAGCAAAGAAAAGCATATATTACATTGTTTTAAAACTCTTAGAAATTACAAAAAATAAAATTTAGCTTTTCAGGTTTTAAGGTTTTGAGTATTAGTGCACAGTGCCTACTTTGAAGGCAGTTTGAAGGCAGCATGTTACAGTATAAATATTATGGCTTTAAAAAACTCTATCTATCCCAGTTTTTTGTTTGTGGTGTCTTAACCACCCCTGTCTGCACTAGGTGGTGGTGGGGGTTCATCTGCAAACTCTGTTTCCCAGAGTATTTTTTAGATGGCCAACTCTGAGTGTGATCAATAAGAGGCACTACTGGGAGATGAGAGAGAAATCAGGAGAGGAACAGACATATTCATCTTTCTCTTTCTCTTGCTCTCATTCTGATTCTCACTCTAGTTTTCCTTATTCTGACATTGCCTCTGGAGCATTGGTTACTAAACGTTAGGCCTTTGTCTGTGCTCTGAGATTCTTTTCCTTAACACTTCTTCACTTGTGTTCTCCCAGCCTTTCAGGTAGGAACTGCTTCTGAGAGTTTCTAATTCCTGAGTTAACACATAACTTTTGCTTTCTCCATTTTCAAAGATCCATGCAACACACCAATTCTTTGTGTTAAATATTTCCTGTTTGAAATACTTGTGAGGTTTTTTTTCCTGATTATAAGCTTCCTGATAGAAATTTAGGTTTAAATATTACCTTTGGCCACTAACTAAATGGATGATCCTGAGTATATTATTTAAAGATTTTGGGCTTTATATTTGTCTCTGATGATAAGACAGAAAAAATACATTAAGATAGTATATTATTATGCATATACTAATGCACAAAGTTCATAATAAGCATTCAAAAAATATTAGGAATAATCACTATAACATATATTTCCATATCATTTTAAAATATCTAGTAAATTGATACTGCATATAAAACAGTAAAGTTAACTGAGTATGTTGTGTGTTACTTTGTGTGAAGCAACAAAGAAGTAGCTCAATTGATTAAATACTGGTTTGGAAATTATCACCACATTTTAAAATTTTACTTGACTCCTGCATTTCATGCTGACATCTTATATTTATAAAGATCACGTTGAATGGAAGCTAAAAATATCCTGTAACAAGTCTCCAAAGATCTACTTGATGGGATGGATCAGCATGAAATCTGCATGTGAACTGGAATGTGCACGCCTGAACAGGTCTTTGTGTATACTATATGGGATATATTTACTTTTCAAAGAAAAAACTATATAGCAAGTTTATATAACACATTTGTCTTTTTAAGATTTTTTTTGGCAATAACTAAAGACTTGTAGAAAGTTGCAAAAATAGTACAAAAAGATCTAGCGTACTTTTCACCAATTCTCCCAATGGTTACATTTTACATAATTATGACACAATACCAAGATGTTGATTAATACACATATACAGTTTGATTGCAGAAATTAGACCTAGTGTTTGATAGATCAGTAGGATGATTATAGTTTACAAAAATCTACTCTATATTTCAAAATAGCTAGAAGAAATAATTCTTACATTTCTAACATAAACACAAATGTTTAAAGTGATGGATATCCCAATTACACTGATTTGATCTTAACAAATTCATGAATCTATTATATTATCATATGTGTTCAGAAAATGGATACATCTATTCTGTATCAATTTTTTTAACTGAGGAAATTAACATTGGTATAACCTATATGCATAGTTTCATCCATTTTATCACATTTTAACTGTTTGTTTAATTACAAAATTAACTGTTTCCTTACCATGAAACACCTTACCTTCCTTTAAGCCCCTTTGTCCTTTACAGTTTATGATAAAATTGTCTTAAATATGTCCTTTACATATATTGAGAATGACATCAAACAAATTTTATAATTTTGCTTCAATCATCAAATGCAACCTAGAAATTCATGAGAAGGAAAGTTTATAGTATTTGTCTATGTTTTTCAGGTGTCATTTCATCTTCCAAGATTCTTTTTATCATGTTCATTTTGTCTCAAAAACTTTTTTAGCCATTACATTAACAAAAATTATGAATATATCATAGGTGTATGTATTTGTGATACACATGAGATATTCTGATACAGGCATACAATGAGTCATAATCACTACAGGATAAATGAGGTATATTGTCACCTCAAGGATTTATCATTTCTTTGTGTAACAAACATTCCAATTATACTCTTCTAGTTTTTTTAAATGTACAATAAATTATTGTTGACTGTAGTTACCCTGTTATGCTATCAAATGCTAGATCTCATTCCTTCTATCTAGTATAGCCATGTTTAAGAGGAAATATACTGGCGACAAATTATCATAATTTTCCTTCACTTGAGAATATCTTACTTTCCCTTTCATTCTTAACGGATATTTTGCTGGATATAGAAGTCTGGGTTATTCAAATTGTTTTACTCCTATATATAAGGCGTTATTTGTCTTTGGCTTACTTCAAGTTTTATTTTTTGAATTTTTTTTTTTTTGGAACTGAGTCTCACTGTATTGCCCAGGCTGGAGTGCAGTGGCATGATCTTGGCTCACCGCAACTTCCGTCTCCTGGGTTCAAGTGATTGTCGTGCCTTAGCCTCCTGAGTAGCTGGGATTACAGGCACCTGCCACCACATCTGGCTAATTTTTTGTATTTTTAGTAGAGAAGGGGTTTCACCATGTTGCCCAGCCTGGTCTGGAACTCCTGACCTCTAGTGATCCACCTGCCTCAGCCTCCCACAGCTGGGATTATATGCGTGAGCCACTGCACCCAGCCTTTTGTCTTTATTTTTCAGAAATTTAATTATGATTTATTTTGACTTGGCTTTCTTTGTTTTATGCTATTTAGAGTTCTTCTTGAATCTGTAGGTGTATGTCTTTTGCCAAATTTGGGGAACTTCTAATCATTATTTCTTTGAATAATTTTTCAGACACACTCTTTTCATACTCTTCTTCTGGAAATCCAATGGTACAAATGTCAGATATTTTCTTACAGTTCTACAGATTCCTGAGGTTCTTTTAGTTTTTCTATCTATTCTTTTTTTTATTTATATTGGGTGATTTCTATTGTTACATCTTCATGTTCATGGATTCCACTGATTCCCTCCTTTATCTTTTACATTGTGTTTTTAAGATCACTCATTAAGAGTTTTTTCTTTTTTCATTATTTTAAATTTTATCTACATTTTCATTCATTTATTCTTTATATTATCTATGTCTTTGCTGATATTTTCTGTTTTTCAGTGTGGTTAAATCAAGTTCATAATTGCACTTTGAAACCTTTATGATAGCTGCTTTAAAATCTTTGTTAGATAATCCTAGCATCTATGTCATCTTACTGCTGGCAACTTTTCTTATTCAAGTCAATATTTTCTTGGCTTTTGATATGACAAGTGAGTCTTGATTGTATCCTGGACATTTTGGGTATTACATTATTAGACTCTGGATTTTATTTAAATCTTCTGTTTTAGTAAGTCTCCTCTGACACTATACTAGCAGAAAAAGGGGGCTACCACTTGTCAGAAGCATGATAATCTAAGATTTCTGTGTGGCCTGTGCTCACACCATGAGTATCACAGGCTCTTTACCACCAGTCAAGGAAGGAAGTTCAGCTTTTCACTCAGTCTTCTCTGATACGATTCCATCTGGAGGCAGAGTGGAAGGGACTGCTCATGATAGACTGGAGTGGTGCTGGTCTAGACTCCCCATTTAGCTTTTGCTGACATGAGTGGGTTGGAGTATGGCCATTTTCCACAGTGTTTGGCTCAGATAAGAGAGTTATTCAAGTTTTCTTACTTGCAGTTTGATCATTTTCCTGTCCTTTGGCTAAATTGAACAGACTTGTGAGTGTGTGTGTGTGTCTTCTGTTGGTTTGCTTTTTGATATGTTACTGTATTAGTCTGTTCGCACACTGCTATAAATAACTACCCAAGACTGGGTAATTTATAAAGAAAATAGGTTTGTCTCACAGTTCTATAGACTGTACAGGACATGGCTGGGGCGGCCTTAGGAAACTTACAATCATGGCAGAAGGGCAAAGGGGAAGCAAACACATCTTCACATGGCAGCAGGAGAGAGAGAGAAAAAAAAAGAGGGGAAGTTCTACACATTTTAAAACCGTCAGTTCTCATGAGAATCCACTCACTATCATGAGAACAGCAAAGGGGAAATCCACCCCCATGATCCAATCACCTCCCACTACGTGTCTCCTTCTACATTAGGAATTACAATTAAAAATGAGATTTGGGTGGAGACCCAAACCATATCAGTTCGTTTTTGTGTTTCCAAGCTGCTGGCTTCCTTAGTTCCCAGTCCTGGATATTTGAGGCAAAAAGAAAAACATACAGACTTTTACTGTGTTATGTCTTGGGCCCTAAGGTCCACAATTGATCTGCCATCTTTTCTACCTTTCAGAATTTCCTTATGTTTGTTTTATATATAACCTCCAGGGACTTCAGCTGTACTTATCAAGAGCAATAAGAAGAACTAAATATATTCCATCTTTGTCTGGAAGTCAAAATATATTCCATCTTTGTCAGAAGTCCCTAGCCTGGTTGATTTTGAAAGAACAATGCATTTCTAATAAATACTGTTTTTCTAAAAAATATGCCCAAATGGTTCTTTGTCTTTTTTTAAATTTTATATACATGGGTTATGCGTGCAGATTTTTTACCTGAATCTGTAATAAATACTGTTTGTACCAAAAAATTTTTAGAATGTTGCTTTAACAAAAAACAGTAATTAGTGGTTAGAATTTCAATAATAAAAGTTGTTTAATCATGAGACAAATAAAGAATAAAATGTAAGCATCCATGGGCAAATTTAGCATTTAAACATTCTAGCTCCTGCTCAAGAGTAATGACTTTATTTCTCCTATCACCAACAGCAATATCAAAGCCCAGGGCTTCTAACACCTTTTTATCATCTTTATCACTATTATCAGCCATTGGTATAATGAAATAGAATCCAAGAGCTTTCTTCTCATCTCAAGTCCCTATGGTAAAGAACTACTTCTATATTGCCTATACCTTATAGCTAAGATGAAAGCATACTGTGACTGTTGTTCAGTCAAATGATTCATTTAAAAATGTGTATTATGAAAACTCACTGTATAGGAGATATGTCTATAAATATTAAACATACATGAATACTTGTAATGCCCATAGCCTTGCACACATACACACAAACTTGCAACCATAGCTTTCAAACATTTTGTTCTGATTAATTAATTTGCTCCACAGATCTTATTGTTCCTTATATTCTCATGATTCAAAGGCAATGAACAGTTCTTACTCAAGAAAATATAACATAAAATATACAGAAATTAAAGTTTTCTCTGCCTCTTAAATCCATTTATTCAATAAACATTAAGCAGCTACTACAGTCATGTGTTGCTTAATGATGAGAATATGTTGTGAGAAATGCATTGTTAGATGCATTGTTAGGCGATTTTATTGTTGTGTGAATACTGTAGAGTGTACTTCTACAGTTCTAGATGTTACAACCTGCTCTACACCTAAGCTATAAGTTATAGTCTATTGCCCTCAGAATACAAATCTGTACAGCATCATGCTGTAGGGATGTTACTGTGTTGAATGCCATAGGCAATTTTAACACATTGACAAGTATTTGTGCATCTAAATATATCTAAACATAGAAAAGGTAAAATAAAAATATGTTATTATAATCTTATATGATTATACAGACGCTATATGTTGTATATGTATATGTGGTCTGTCATTGACCAAAAGGTTATTATGTTGTTCATGACTGTATATGTGAGACAGTGGAGATATAATGTTAACACAAGGCTTTATCTGCCCTCCTAACTTTAGGAATTTGAATTTCATTTGAAGAGACAAAGTGCCGAGACCAGCTCAGTCGGGGAGACCCTAACCCAGCAGCACTAGAGGAATTAAAGACACACACACAGAAATATAGGTGTGGAGTGGGAAATCAGGGGTCTCACAACCTTCAGAGCTGAGAGCCTTGAACAGAGATTTACCCACATATTTATAGACAGCAAGCCAGTCATAAGATTTACTAAAAGTATTCCTTACGGGAAATAAAGGGATGGGCCAAAATAAAGGGATGGGCTCTGGCTAGTTATCTGCAGCATGCGCATGTCCTTAAGGCACAGATAGTTCATGCTATTGTTTGTGGTTTAAGAATGCCTTAAGCGGTTTTCCACCCTGGGTGGGCCAGTTGTTTCTTGCCCTCATTCCGGTAAACAGATAACCTTCCAGCGTGGGAGTCAAGACCATCACGAGCATGTCACAGTGCTGCAGAGATTTTGTTTATGGCCAGTTTTGGGGCCAGGTTATGGCCAGATTTGGAGGCCTATTCCCAACATGTCACCCTTCTTTGTTTTGCAAAGTGATAAAAGCAAAGGCAGCTTTGTCACAGTGAGCTACTTCTTGCAGGAGTCAGGATCTGCATCTGCAGAATATACAAAGGCAAACAACACAGATTAAAAGCACAATCATCATCGAAATCACAGAGCTTCCAAGTGATTTTATCCATTTTGATTGGTTACTAGCTGCTAATCTGTCTGTAGCTCCTTCAAGCACTCCAGTTCCTGGCATTAAGGTCAAGTGGCCTGGGATGATTTAAATATTTGTTCTTTTAATTTTTCAATACCCAAAGACAAGTTTGTAGAGTGTCCTTCTAGATGCTTTTTTATTCTTTCCCATATTTTGATCTTATTAAGAGCCATTAATAGTTTCCCCAAATCCTTATGTTTAACTCCTACAGCGGGCCATATCATTTGAGATTGAGGTACCACTATACTGCCATGTTTCCAGATAATAGGAACTCTTGCCATATTTCTTCCCATTTCTACCATCTGACCATTTTGTTCAGACCAGCTGAACATAGTGTTGCCGTTGCATGCAGACTGAGAGGCGCAATTTAAGCTAAACATTCCCTTAGGGGACCAATCAATAATGATTCCATAGGAATCATTGTGCAGCATCTCTGCCTGTTCTGCAATGCAATCTTCCCAAACAAGTACATTCATTTTTTTCTGGCCAGGTTCAATTTTGTTTACAAATAGGTTTTTGAGGGTGATATGCCTTAATTATAGGAGCAGATTCATTATGGTAAATAGTGAGGTCAGAAAGCACGTTTAACTGTTTCATAGAATGATTACCTCCAGGCATTATTGCCAGCCAAGATTGATAAATATGCCCAATAAGTATAATTGTTCTCTGTGTCAGCCCTTGTTGAAGGAATACTCATGGCAATGGTGATCACTGCTATCATAGCTACCATTAAATTACTCATTGTGACTGGTTGTCCCGCTTTCCTCAGGTTTTCTTCTGACATCTGTGACAGCTTCTTGATCTGTCCCCAAGTAGGTGGCTGTGTTCAACGAGTGTCGCTCATGACACCTGGAGTCCTCCTTAGCGTCAGTCTCAACATGGCTGCAACCGGGGGGTCCTCAGGATCCTCCTGGAATCTCTTCCTCAGCATCTGGCTCATGATAAGGTTTCAGGTGTCTCGATGGTATCCAAATTGGCTGTTGATTCAGTCCTGGAGAACCACAAGCATAACCTCTACCCCAAGTTATTATGTTACCTATTTCCCAAATTTTTGTTATCAGATCTCTCCAACAAACCAGTTGTTCTGCTTCTGTCTTTGCAGCTGGTTTTTGTAGATGCTGTTCAGCTGCTGATAGCATCTGGCCTTTAGGCAGGCTCAAAAAATTTTACGTTAATAGTGCTTGATTCAGTTGCATTTGCAGTGTTCCATAGTCCCTGTTTTCCCACCTCTGCTTTTGCAACTGCTGTTCCAGGGAGAGATTCATTCTTTCCACTATTGCTTGTCCTTGAGAATTATATGGGATACTAATAATGTGTTTAGTATCCCATACAGAGAAAAATGTAGCTAGAGCTTGGCTAGTATAGCCTGGGGCATTATCTTTTTTGATATAAGCTGGAATGCCCATCATCGCAAAACACTGCAAAAGGTGATGTTTAACACAGGCAGAAGACTCTCCTGATTGGCATGTATACCAGACAAAGTGAGAAAAGGGGCCCACACATACATGTACATAAGCTAGTCTCCCAAATGAGGGAACATGTGTGACATCCATTTGCCAAAGAGACTTAGGTTCCAATCCTTGAGGATTAACTCCTCCTGTAAAAGATGAGGAATGCACCATTTGGCAAGTTGGGCATCACTGGATAATAGCTTTAGCTTCTTTCCAGGTAATGCTGTATCTGCGTTTGAGACCAGAGGCATTAACATGGGTTAAATTGTGAAAGTGTCTAGCATTAGATTCGCATTAGCAACTAGGTGATCAGCCATTTGATTCTCTTCAGTCAAAGGTCCTGGAAAAGGTGTATGAGCCCTAATGTGAGTGATGTAAAAAGGGTGCATTCTACTCCTTACTGCTGTTTGAAATTGGGTAAATAAAGTCATCAGTTGTTCATCTGTATGAAATCATAACTGAGCATTTTCAATTAATTGTGTGGAATGAACGACATATGAAGAATCAGAAATCACATTAATAGGCATATCAAAAGCAGTCAATACCTCAATTACAGCTACAAGCTCCGCTTTTTGAGCTGAAGTACAGGGCGTCTGAAAAACTTTACCTTTTCATCCAGAATAAGAAGCTTTACCATTACTAGACCCACCTGTAAAAATATTTTAAGCACCTCCAATTGGTTTAAATTTAGTTATTTTAGGGAGAATCCAATTAGTTAATTTTAAAAATTGAAACAGTTTCGTTTTAGGAAAATGACTATCAAGAATACCCACACAGTCAGCTAAATGGGTTTGCCAAATAAGACTATTTATAAAAGCTTGCTGTATTTGTGCCTTCGTGAGAGGGACAATAACTTTTCCAGGATCATATCCATGTAATTTAACCATCCGAGTTTTCCCATTTCCTATCATAGTAGCGACTTGATCCAAATAAGGAGTTAGAGTCTGTGAATTAGTATGTGGAAGAAAAAGCCACCCTACTAAGTCCTGTTCTTGGACAATAACATTAGTAGGTGAATGTTGAGTTGGAAAAATTACCAAATCTTGAGTCTTCTCTGGATCTATTCTATTGATTTGAGCTTTATGGACTTGCTTTTCCATTAGCTGCAGCTCTGCCTCAGCTTCTTTTGTTAATTGCCGAGGGCCAGTGAGACTAGGATCTCCTCTAAGGATAGAAAATAGATTACTCAGGGCATAGGTAGGAATGCCTAGAGCAGGTTGTATCCAATTAATGTCCCCTAGTAATTTTTGAAAGTCATTTAATGTTTTCAATTGATCCCTATGTATGGTTACTTTCCGTGGCACAATGGTAATGTCATGTACTAAGGTCCCCATAGGTTGCATAACTGAATTAATGGCTCTTAAATCAGTTAACATTCTCTATTTACCTGATTTTTTCTTAATTACAAAAACTAGAGAATTCCGAGGGGAAAATGTTGGAACTATGTGTACGTTTTCTAATTGTTCATTAACGAAGTCCTCTAAAGCCTCCAGTTTCTCTTTACTTAGCGGCCATTGTTCTATCCAAACTGGCTTATCTGTTAACCATTTTAAAGGTATAGGTTCTGGAGGCTTAACAATGGCTGCCATCAAAAATGATATCCTAAACCTTGGCGGGAACTTTGTCTTTCCAATTGAAGCGGTTCCTTCAAAACTTGCAAATGTTTTCCTAGTCCCATACCAGGGACATACCCCATTTCATGCATCATATGTTGACTTCGAGGGCTATATAGTTGTTCTGGAATTAGAACTTGTGCTCCCCATTGTTGTAATAAATCTCTTCTCCATAAATTTATAGGTACAGAAGTTATAATTGGTTGAATAGTCCCAGGTTGTCCACCGGGCCCTTCACAATGCAAAATATAACTACTTTGATATACTTCAGGGGGTTTACCAACTCCAACTATGTTAAATTGAGCAGGGTGAATTGACCACGTGGATGGCCAGTGCTGTAGAGAAATGATTGAAATGTCTGCTCCTGTATCTACCAAACCTTTAAATTTCTTTCCCTGAATAGTTATTTCACAGGTAGGATGTTTATCAGTAATTTGATTTACCCAATAAGCTGCTTTGCCTTTTTTATTTGTGCTTCCAAATCCTCCTGTTCGTTTAATTTCACTTTTCCCCGTTTCCACATATGGCACAATCAGGAGCTGTGCTATGCGTTCTCCTGGCTCTGCTTTCCAGGGAACAGAAGTAGATATAACAATTTGAATTTCCCCATTGTAATATGAATCAATGACTCCAGTTTGTACTTGTACATCTTTCATATTTAAACTAGACCTTCCTAGAAGTAATCTTATCCTCCCCGCTGGCATGGGTCCACAGACTCCTGTTGGGATCTTTTGTGGGGGTTCCCCAGGCAGAAGGCTCACAGCTTTTGTGCAGCATAAATCTACTGCAGCACTACCAGCTGTGGTGGCGGACAGACATTGTACAGGGGTGAGGGAATGGCCCGAGCCAGAAGTGCCCCAGTTTGATACGGGGCCCAGGATGGGCCCCTCATCGTGTTTCCCGAATTTAAAAGGAAAAGGCCCAAATGTAGCTATAATATTTCCTGTTGATCTGGGGGTTGTATTCTAACAGGGAACTGCCAAGCCTCTAAATCATCCTCTTGTCTAGCTTGCTGAATTTCTGCCTGAATAGAACTGAGAGTAGTCACTCAAGGCACTGCTCAAACAGTCACTGGGGCAGCTACTTTTCACACAGTGTCCTCCAGAAAAAAAAGATCTGGAGGGTCAGGCCACTCTTTTTCTTCAAAATAATGAGGGGGTACAGAAGGGTAGGGATGGACTTCTTCCTCCTTTGCCGCTTTAGCTTTAGCTGGCAAACAAACCTGCTCTGTTACTTCTTCTGTGACTTCGTTGTACTCTCCTTCCTCCTCATCATTAGTGTGAAAAGATTCCAAGGTGGAACAAACCAAAGCCCACAGTTGTCCCATTGTTACCCTGCTCCCCTTCTTACTCACCACGGGGATTGCTTTAAGAGTACTTGGATGTCCTCCAGCTTAGTTCCACGTTCTCCAACTATTTCTCCAGCGACCCTTCAACCTGGATTTGAGCCCCACATATGGACACCACTTGCCAAGACCAGCTCGGTCAGGAAGACCCTAACCTAGTGGCACTAGAGGAATTAAAGACACACACACAGAAATATAGAGTGTGGAATGGGAAATCAGGGGTCACACAGTCTTCAGAGCTGACAGCCTTAAACAGAGATTTACCCACATATTTATTGACAGCAAGCCAGTCATAAGATTTACTAAAAGTATTCCTTATGGGAAATAAAGGAATGGGCCAAAATAAAGGGATGAGTCTGGCTAGTTATCTGTAGCATGAACACGTCCTAAAGGCACAGATCGCTCACGCTATTGTTTGTGGTTTAAGAATGTCTTAAGCAGTTTTCTGCCCTGAGTGGGCCAGGTGTTCCTTGCCCTCATTCTGGTAAACTGACAACCTTCCAGCATGGGTGTCAAGGCCATCACAAACATGTCACAGTGCTGCAGAGATTTTATTTATGTCCAGTTTTGGGGCCAATTTATGGCCAGATTTGGGGGCCTGGTTCCCAACAACAAAGAAAATATTTATGAAAGTATGTCAAAGAGTGTATCCAGGAAAATAAGTTACAAGAATAGCAGTCTCATCAATCTATAATCTTAGTTTGACATTTCCTCAAGCATTTTCCTAGAATCATTTAGTTATTATTATCCACAGTTCATTATTTTTTTCAAACTCCTATTCACATGCCAAGTGTTAAGAATAAGGATTTGTTTTTTGACAAACTGAACTCTTAGAGAAGGAGTTGATTAAAAACTTTTGCCCACAAAACCCTCATTGCTAAATTTGATATTTCAAAAATATCTAGTCAAAATTATTTTTGAACAAAACTTACATTTAAATAGTTCGTTTTCCAAACTAATTGAAGATGTCAAACTTAGTTCATAATCTATTAGCAAACTAAATGGTGTAATGCCTTAATAATATTTAGGCCATATTAAATGGAACCAGAAATAATAGTAGATATGGCATTGGCCTAATAACACAGCCTTGGGCTCATATGTAAAAGTATATATTCACTGGGCCTTCATGCTGCCACCACTGTGATTCGGTGGGGAAAGGCAGCTTAGGAACCAGAAACTGGTCTCATCATACTTGTGTGACTTTGA